>NC_000006.12:120222305-120525335 GCF_000001405.40 Homo sapiens | reverse complement strand
CTATGACAAACCCAAAGCCAACATCATATTGAATGGGCAAAAGTTGGAAGCATTCCCCCTTGAAAACCAGCACAATGTAAGGATGTCCTCTCTCTCCACTGCTGTTCAACGTAATATTGGAAGTCCTGGCCAGAGTAATCAGGCAAGTGAAAGAAATAAAGGACATCTGCATAGGAAGAGTGGAAGACAAACTAACCCTGTTTGCAGACAACATGATCTGATATCTAGAAAACACCATAGTATTGGCCCAAAGACTCCTTAAGCTGATAAACAACTTCAGTGAAGTCTCAGGATGCAAAATCAATGCACAGAAATCCCTAGCATTCCTATACACCAACAATGGACAAGCCAAGAGCAAAATCAGGAACACAATCTCATTCAGAATTGCCACAAAAAGAATAAAATACCTAGGAATACAGCTAACTAACTATGGAGGTGAAAGATCCCTACAAGGAGAGCCGCAAAACACTGCCCAAAGGAATCAAACAAATGGAAAAATATTCCATGCTCATGCATAGGAAGAATCAACATAATTAAAATGGCCATACTGATCCAAAGCAATGTGTAGATTCAATGTTATTTTTAACAAATTATCAATGACATTCTTCACAGAGCTAGAAAAAAACTATTTTAAAATTCATATGAGACAAACAAAAAAAGCTCAAACAGCCAATGTAATCCTAAGCAAAAAGAACAAAGCTGGAGGCATCATACTACCCAACTTCAAACTATACTGCAGGGTTAAAGTAACCCAAACAGCATGGTACTGGTACAAAAACAGACACACAGACCAATGGAACAGAATAGAGAGCCCAGAAATAAGACCACACAACTACAACCATCTGACCTTTGACAAAGCTGACAAAAACAATCAATGGGGAAAGGACTTTCTACTCAATAAATGGTGCTGAGATAACTGGCTAGCCATGTGCAGAAGATTGACCCCTTTCCTTACACCATATACTTAACCCCCTTCCTTACACCATATATAAAAGTCAACTAAAGATTGATTAAAGACTTAAATGTAAATCAAAATTATGAAATCCCTGAAAGACGAACTAGGCAAAACCATTCTGGGCATAGGAACAGGAAAATACTTCATGATGAAAACACCAAAAGCAATTGCAACTAAAACAAAAATTGACAAATAGATCTAATTAAACTAAAGAGCTTCTGCACAGCAAAAGAAATTATTCAACAGAAAACCTATAGAATGGGAGAAATTTTTTGCAAACTACGCATCTGACAAAGGTCTGATATCCAGCATCTATAAGAAACTTAAATAAATTCACAAGAAAACCAAACAACCCCATTAAAACGTGGGCAGAGGATATGAACAGATAGTTTTCAAAAGAAGTCATACAATAAGCATATTTGAAAAAGCTGACCTGAATCTGAATGTTGGCCTGCCTTGCTAGACTGGGGAAGTTCTCCTGGATAATATCCTGCAGAGTGTTTTACAACTTGGTTCCATTCTCCCCATCACTTTCAGGTACACCAATCAGATTTGGTCTTTTCACATAGTCCCATATTTCTTGGAGGCTTTGTTCCTTTCTTTTTATTCTTTTTTCTCTAAACTTCCCTTCTTGCTTCATTTCATTCATTTCATCTTCCATCACTGATACCCTTTCTTCCAGTTGATCACATCGGCTCCTGAGGCTTCTGCATTCTTCACGTAGTTCTCAAGCCTTGGCTTTCAGCTCCTTTAAGCATTTCTCTGTATTGGTTATTCTAGTTATACATTCGTCTAAATTTTTTTCAAAGTTTTTAACTTCTTTGCCTTTGGTCTGAATTTCCTCCTGTAGCTCGGAGTAGTTTGATCGTCTGAAGACTTCTTCTCTCAACTCGTCAAAGTCATTCTCCGTCCAGCTTTGTTCCGTTGCTGGTGAGGAACTGCATTCCCTTGGAGGAGGAGAGGCACTCTGCTTTTTAGAGTTTCCAGTTTTTCTGCTCTGTTTTTTCCCCATCTTTGTGGTTTTATCTACTTTTGGTCTTTGATGATGGTGATGTACAGATGGGTTTTTGGTGTGGATGCCCTTTCTGTTTGTTAGTTTTCCTTCTAACAGACAGAACCCTCAGCTGCAGGTCTGTTGGAGTTTGCTAGAGGTCCATTTCAGACCCTGTTTGCCTGGGTATCAGCCACAGTGGCTGCAGAACAGTGGATTTCCGCGAACCGTGAATGCTGCTGTCTGGTCATTCCTCTGGAAGTTTTGTCTCAGAGGAGTACCTGGCCATGTGAGGTGTCAGTCTGCCCCTACTGGGGGGTGCCTCCCAGTTAGCCTGCTCAGGGGTCAGGGGTCAGGGACCCACTTGAGGAGGCAGTCTGCCCGTTCTCAGATCTCCAGCTGTGTGCTGGTGCTGGGAGAACCACTGCTCTCTTCAAAGCTGTCAGACAGGGACATTTAAGTCTGCAGAGGTTACTGCTGTCTTTTTGTTTGTCTGTGCCCTGCCCCCAGAGGTGGAGCCTACAGAGGCAGGCAGGCCTTCTTGAGCTGTGGTGGGTTCCACCCAGTTCAAGCTTCCAGGCTGCTTTGTTTACCTAAGCAAGCGTGGGCAATGGTGGGCGCCCCTCCCCCAGCCTCGCTGCAGCCTTGCAGTTTGATCTCACACTGCTGTGATAGCAATCAGGGAGACTCCATGGGCATAGGACCCTCCGAGCCAGGTGCAGGATATAATCTCTTGGTGTGCCATTGTTTAAGCCCGTAAAAGCGCAGTATTAGGGTGGGAGTGACCCGATTTTCCAGGTGCCGTCTGTCACCCCTTTCTTTGACTAGGAAAGGGAACTCCCTGACCCCTTGCGCTTCCCGAGTGAGGCAATGCCTCGCCCTGCTTCGGCTTGTGCACGGTGCGCTGCACCCACTGTCCTGCGCCCACTGTCTGGCACTCCCTAGTCAGATGAACCTGGTACCTCAGATGGAAATGCAGAAATCACCCGTCTTCTGCGTCGCTCACACTGGGAGCTGTAGACCGGAGCTGTTCCTATTCAGCCATCTTGGCTGCCACTGGAGCTGGTTTTTTGAAAGGGTCAACAAAATTGATAGACCACTAGCAAGACTAATAAAGAAGAAAAGAGTGAAGAATCAAATAGATGCAATAAAAAATGATAAAGGGGATATCATCACTGATCCCACAGAAATACAAACTACCATCAGAGAATACTACAAACACCTCTACGCAAATAAACTAGAAAATCTAGAAGAAATGGATAAATTCCTCGACACATACACCCTCCCAAGACTAAACCAGGAAGAAGTTGAATCTCTGAATAGACCAATAACAGCCTCTGAAATTGTGGCAATAATCAATAGCTTACCAATCAAAAAGAGTCCAGGACCAGATGGATTCACAGCCGAATTCTACCAGAGGTACAAGGAGGAACTGGCACCATTCCTTCTGAAACTATTCCAATCAATAGAAAAAGAGGGAATCCTCCCTAACTCATTTTATGAGGCCAGCATCATCCTGATACCAAAGCTGGGCAGAGACACAACCAAAAAAGAGAATTTTAGACCAATATCCTTGATGAACATTGATGCAAAAATCCTCAATAAAATACGGCAAACCAAATCCAGCAGCACATCAAAAAGCTTATCCACCATGATCAAGTGGGCTTCATCCCTGGGATGCAAGGCTGGTTCAATATATGCAAATCAATAAATGTAACCCAGCATATAAACAGAACCAAAGACAAAAACCACATGATTATCTCAATAGATGCAGAAAAGGCCTTTGACAAAATTCAACAACCCTTCATGCTAAAAACTCTCAATAAATTAGGTATTGATGGGACATATCTCAAAATAATAAGAGCTATCTATGAGAAACCCACAGCCAATATCATACTGAATGGGCAAAAACTGGAAGCATTCCCTTTGAAAACTGGCACAAGACAGAGATGCCCTCTCTCACCACTCCTATTCAACATAGTGTTGGAAGTTCTGGCCAGGGCAATTAGGCAGGAGAAGGAAATAAAGGGTATTCAATTAGGAAAAGAGGAAGTCAAATTGTCCCTGTTTGCAGATGACATGATTGTATATCTAGAAAACCCCATTGTGTCCGCCCAAAATCTCCTTAAGCTGATAAGCAACTTCAGCAAAGTCTCAGGATACAAAATCAATGTACAAAAATCACAAGCATTCTTATACACCAATAACAGACAAACAGAGAGCCAAATCATGAGTGAACTCCCATTCACAATTGCTTCAAAGAGAATAAAATACCTAGGAATCCAACTTACAAGGGACGTGAAGGACCTCTTCAAGGAGAACTACAAACCACTGCTCAATGAAATAAGAGGATACAAAGAAATGGAAGAACATTCCATGCTCATGGGTAGGAAGAATCAATATCGTGAAAATGGCCATACTGCCCATGGTAATTTATAGATTCAGTGCCATCCTCATCAAGCTACCAATTACTTTCTTCACAGAATTGGAAAAAACTACTTTAAAGTTCATATGGAACCAAAAAAGAGCCCGCATCGCCAAGTCAATCCTAAGCCAAAAGAACAAAGCTGGAGGCATCACACTACCTGACTTCAAACTCTACTACAAGGCTACAGTAACCAAAACAGCATGGTACTGGTACCAAAACAGAGATACAGATCAATGGAACAGAACAGAGCCCTCAGAAATAATGCCGCATATCTACAACTATCTGATCTTTGACAAACCTGAGAAAAACAAGCAATGGGGAAAGGATTCCCTATTTAATAAATGGTGCTGGGAAAACTGGCTAGCCATATGTAGAAAGCTGAAACTGGATCCCTTCCTTACACCTTATACAAAAATCAATTCAAGATGGATCAAAGACTTAAACGTTAGACCTAAAACCATAAAAACTCTAGAAGAAAACCTAGGCAATACCATTCAGGATACAGGCACGGGCAAGGACTTCATGTCTAAAACACCAAAAGCAATGGCAACAATAGCCAAAATTGACAAATGGGATCTAATTAAACTAAAGAGCTTCTGCACAGCAAAAGAAACTACCATCAGAGTGAACAGGCAACCTAGAAAATGGGAGAAAATTTTCGCAACCTACTCATCTGACAAAGGGCTAATATCCAGAATCTACAATGAACTCCAACAAATTTACAAGAAAAAAACAAACAACCCCATCAAAAAGTGGACGAAGGACATGAACAGTCACTTCTCAAAAGACGACATTTATGCAACCAAAAAACACATGAAAAAATGCTCACCATCACTGGCCATCAGAGAAATGCAAATCAAAACCACAATGAGATACCATCTCACACCAGTTACAATGGCAATCATTAAAAAGTCAGGAAACAACAGGTGCTGGAGACGATGTGTGGAAATAGGAACACTTTTACACTGTTGGTGGGACTGTAAACTAGTTCAACCATTGTGGAAGTCAGTGTGGCTATTCCTCAGGGATCTAGAACTAGAAATACCATTTGACCCAGCCATCCCATTATTGGGTATATACCCAAAGGACTATAAATCATGCTGCTATAAAGACACATGCACACGTATGTTTATTGCGGCACTATTCACAGTAGCAAAGACTTGGAACCAACCCAAATGTCCAACAGTGATAGACTGGATTAAGAAAATGTGGCACATATACACCATGGAATACTATGCAGCTATAAAAAATGATGAGTTCATGTCCTTTGTAGGGACATGGATGAAATTGGAAATCATAATTCTCAGGAAACTATCACAAGAACAAAAAACCAAACACTGCATATTCTCACTCATAGGTCGGAATTGAACAATGAGAACACATGGACACAGGAAGGGGAACATCACACTCTGGGGACTATTGTGGGGTGGGGGGAGGGGGGAGGGATCGCATTAGGAGATATGCCTAATGCTAAATGACGAGTTAATGAGTGCAGCACACCAGCATGGCACATGTATACATATGTAACTAACCTGCACATTGTGTACATGTACCCTAAAACTTAAAGTATAATAATAAAATAAAATTAAATTAAATTAAAAAAAAAAAGCTGACCAACACTGATCATTAGAGAAATACGAATCAAAACCACAATGAGAAACCATCTCACACCAGTAAGAATGGCTACTATTAAAAAGTCAAAAATAACAGGTGCTAGTGAGGTTGCAGAGAAAAAGGAACACTTAAAAACTGTTGATAGGAGTGTAAATTTGTTCAATTATTGTAGAAAATAGTTTGGTAATTCCTTGAAGATCTAAAAATAAAACTACCCAGCAATCTCATTACTAAGTATACACCCAAAGGAATATAAATCATTCTATTATAAAGACACATGCAATGTATATGTTCATCTCAGCACTATTTACGATAGCAAAGACATGGAATCAACCTAAATGCCCATCAATGGTGTACTGGACAAAGAAAATATGATACATACACACCATGGAATACTATGCAGCCATAAAAATGAAATCATGCCCTTTGAAGGCACATGGATGGCACTGGGGTTATTATCCTTAGCAAACTAACATAAGAATCAAACACAGCCTGTTTTCACTATTAAGTGGGAGCTAAATGTTAGGACACATAGACATATAAAGCGAAACAACAGACACTGGGATATATCAGAGGGTGGAAGGTGCAAGGAGGAAGAGGATCAAGAAAGATAACTAATTGGTACTAGGCTCGATACCAAGATGACAAAATAATCTGTACAACAAACCTCCATGACATGGATTTACTTACATAACAAACCTACACATGTACCTCCTGAACTTAATATAAAAGTTAAAAAAATCTTATATTCCTGGTCCTAAGTAATATGTGCCTGTACAATTTTAAAATTTTAGGTTTATATAAATTATAAAGCCCCTAGTTTTTATAATGAAGTAAAAAAGATGGATTCCCCCTCTCCCCAAAGAGGACAGTTTTATCATTAGGGATAAATAATTAGAAATATATCAAAATTATTTTAGTTACTTAAACATTTATTTTATGGGGAAATATCTATGCAGAATTTTAAAAAAAATTGTTGAAAAGTGATACATTTCCTCATAACTGTTTTTGTAAAGTCATGTTTCTCAATTTTTGAGGTTATCTGTTAGCTAATAGATTTTATGAACAGAGTAATCCAAGTCATGTCACTGGTAAAATTCTGGACAAAATATTATCCAAATAAGATAAGTTTAATTTTCCAAGGGAAAATTGCCAGCAAAAGCACACCATATATATTATACTTTCCATTCCCACAGGAAAAACAATTACAGTGTTTACTGTGCAAATGAGAACACCTCTCCAATTCTCCCATAGCTCCTTGCCATTTGGAAGCAAGAGCCTTATGTATTACTACCAAAGCTATTTCCTTAAATTATTTTAAAATTTTACTCTTACAGACAATGGAATATATTCTACTTTTTATTTTTGTAAAAAGAAACATAATAATTGTAAGAAGAGTAAAGTTTGTGAAGCTGGTCATATGCTTCATTTATTGAGGAAAGATCTCTTCAATTACTAGAATTGATGAGAAGATGAACTAAGTTACAGAAATGTGAATATAGATCATTCCTTATTAATGGAAATGAGAGTGACCTAAATATATTATTAGATAATCACATGATGATAATGAACATTACTCATGAATAATTTTTGAGATTGGAGAGAAAGGAAATGGCCTCCCAAACCCTTTCTGGGGAAAGGTTTTATTTTTATATTTTTTTCTTAATGGTAAAAGGCAAACATTGTTTCCCCTTTGTCTCTTGTTTTCCTCTAATTTATTTATTTATTTATTTATTTATTTTGCTGTATATAGGCAGTGTAGGGAAGAGCAAGCAAGAGGCAGGAAATATTTGAATTGTAAATAAAGGTTGTTTAGGGACAAAAACAGGAGGAAAAATTTATTTTACTATCTGTCCTGTATCTTAATCTTAAAAAAAGTTGTTTTGAAAATTGCTATTTGTATACTCAATGTGTTCATATGCTTCATCTGAATTTTCACATAACTAAATTTAAAAGTGTACAATATGTGAATACTTGTATATCAAATATTGTAAAATAAAAATTTATCAGTGGAAAAGCCAGAGCACTCTGGCCTCCTAGCTGTGGTAGCCCCTATGGGGAATAAATGGAAGGACTCATGATTTATGCTCTACAAGAGCTTTATAGAGATTAAAACATTCAAGATGTTACTCAACCAAAGACTAACATGAGTTGCTTGTTGAATAAAAAGTAGTAAACAGCACATCCTGTGATCCTAGAAGTCTTGTTCTCTTGGGTCACTTTGCCACTGTTACAGTCCAATATTCAAAATTTATAGCAATTGATTAAAAGAATTGCTTTAAAGTTATCAAGACTTAATTTAAGACCAGGAATATTACTTCTCAGATATGAAATGGACATTACTTATCCTCTCTAAATTTTAGTTGCCTCATCTGCAAGATGCAGATTATGATAGTAGTACTTGTTGGAATTTTGCAGAATCAAATATGATAATTGTAAAAATGTTTAGCTCAGAGCCTCACACATGGTAAATATTCAAGTAAATATTAACTTCTATTATAATAATTCATATAGAATGACTCTGTTTTGTTTACTGCCAGACATGATTTCATTCCTGATGAGTCTGCACTATGTGTGTGAGGGGGAAATAGATATATGTGTATTGGATTATTACAGTTGCATAATGGTTTAGATACCTATGCTTAAGCCAACAGTGATAAGGAACAATACGTTGTCCATTTTTAGTTTTCCTGTTCCAGAGATAGGCTGTTCTTTAGCCAGTGGTGGCCAACCCATCAGATATAGAGTGCTTTGGTAAAGATTCTCCAGAGAAACAAAACTAATAGAATGTGTGTATGTGCCTGTGTGTGTATTATAAGGAATTGGTCACATAATTATGGAAGCTGAAGAATCCAGATACAGGATAGTCAGTGGTATAGTTCCATTCCTAGTCCATGTTGGAAGGGAGAAAGTGACCAATATCTCAGGTCCAGGACAGTAAGGCAGAGAGAGAGAAAACTCTTTCTTACATCATTTTTTATTTTATTCTGGTCTTAAAAGAACTGAATGAGGCCCACCCACACTGGGGATAGCAATCTGCTTTACTCAGTCTATTAATTCATATGTTAATCTCATCCAGAAATACCCTCACAGACACAACTAGAAATAATGTTTAACCAAATCTGTGGGTCCTGTGGTCCAGTGAAGTTGACACACAAAATTAACTATATATGGTAACTGGACATCCTCCATTTTCTACTATTCACTTCCTCTTTTCCTGGCTTCTATAATCAGGGATTATAGGAAATCTAATATTTCTACTGGGAACTAAATCAGCTTGAGATTGTCATAGTTGCTGTGGTTTGAATGTGGTTTGTCCCTGCCAATACTCATATTGAGATTTAATTGCCACTGTAACCATGTTGGGATGTGGAGCCTAGTGGGAGTTGTTTGTGTCATGTAGGCAATTCCCTTATGAATGAAGTAATGCTATCTCATTGGAAATAAGTGTGTTCTCCCTCTTGCCAGAATGGATTTGTTACTGCGAGAGTGGATTATAAAAGAATTATTTCCCCCTCCTTTTTGGGACCTCTCTTTACTCACACCCCTCACCTTTCCACTTTCCTGCCATGTCTTGTAGCAGCACATGGCCCTCATCAGAAGGCAAGCAGATGCTAGTGTCATGTTCTTGGACTTTCCAGCCACTAGAATTGTGAGATAAATAAACCTGTTTTCTTTATGAATTTCCCAGCCTCATGTATTTAGCAACACTAAATGCATTAAGACCCACAGTTATGTTTATTGCCCTTGGGTTAAGCTCACATTTAGATTTTTCAGTATGTTCTAGCAAGTAATTCTATGGTATTTCTACAGAAATTTGTATTTTTTAGTATTTCTGGTATCCATCGGCCATTTTATGAAGCAATATTTAATTGGTTTTTATTTCTACTAAATTTTCTTTGTATAATGAAATAGCACATCAGATCTAAAAGTGATTTAACACATTACAAAACACAGAACATTTGGAAATCCTGGCTATTCAGGTTATCTGCAAAGTATTTATCTTTGGATCTTTTAGGTAAACAACTGCATGCCAAATAGTTGGTTTCTACGTTGTCAGATATTAAAATTTAGATTAAATTTAGATGATAAAAGTTGGCATTAGAAATAAGCCTGCAATGGTATAAACAAGAGGAAAAATGTAGAAAATTCGTAGTTCATAGATTAAAATCAAATGTTTAATTATTTGTAGAATGGTAGCAGGAGTTTCTCTCAATTCACAGTACATATGTTTCTTATATGCTGACAAATGTTTCAGATTTACAAAATTTTAGAGCTGAACTAGAAGAGGTTTCAGTGTCAATCTAATGTAATCCACTCATTGCTGTAACATAGGTACACCTTAGATTTATGAAAGATGACCAAGGTCACACAACCAGTTTGAGGCAGAGTTTAAATTGTGACCTTGACCAACTGACTTCCATTTCTGTGTTCTTTCCATTATGCAGTTCTAGAATGAGCAGACAGAGATGGATGTTCCTGATGTTTCATAAATAACAGTGATTCCAACATAGTTTTGTGGTTCTCAGTCATTAATCTTACTTATTGCCAAACTTTTCAGGGCAGTTGCTATTATAGAAGCAGCACTTACACTCAAAAATGCCAACTGTAACCACAATTGTTTCTCAGAAGGAATGGATATACAGGACATTCCCCGTATCATACAGCCATTATCTAAGATTATTAAAGATAATTGCATGTTATCAGAATATTTTCTGGGTTACCAGAAAAGATTGAGATTTTAAATTAAGTTTTCTGTTAGTCATCTTTTTCTCTTGAGATATTTATCTGAGAGATTCAAAGTTGTCAATATTACAGAGTCATGATCTAATTAGGATGTGATGGCTCAGACAATCTGATACTATAACAGTATTCTCTAGCATAGCTTTGAGTTAAAAATGGTCTACTTCTTACACCCATTACCTTTGTCAAAATTTAGGCATTTGTTTTCCTTTTGATGCAAATATTTCTTAATATTTCTTACTCTTTCTGCAGAGCTCTTTTGGATTTATATGTGGGTTTATTTAAAAATACAAATTATTAAAAATTCTCATTTTTAATTAACTGAAGTTGATAGTTACAATGTAATTTTTATCAGCCAAGTGTTGTTTTTCTAATCTGCATATGCAACACAGTACACCATTAATTCAAATATATGTATGAAAATATCACCAACTGAAAAGCAAGTCTTTGCCTGTCCTGTAGTGTTTATAGAAGATCCTGATGTTTAGAATATCCACTTCCCAATATTCTGCATCTCGGCCTTTCTGGACAGAATCCATCCATTCATTCCTTCACCCACCCATTCACATACTTGTTTTCTTCTATAATTGTTACTCTATTACATCTTTCAAACTGCCTTTAGGGGTTATTCTTTAAAATAGATATAGAAAAGAGAATAAAATAACTAAGTAAAAGCTGATTCACATGGAGTAGTAAAACAGTATAAAATATTAATAGAGAAATGAGAAATTGATCCAACTGGATGGAATGAACAAAACAGAAAGGGATTGAACTTCAAAATAAAATCATAGAGTACTGTACTTATAGCTTGAAAGAAGCTTGCTCAGGCTTAAAGTGTCCCACTAGCACAATTCAAGACACATGGTTTTCAGACATTTTCCAAATTTGTATTGATAGATCTTGTTTAAATTTTAATTTTTTTAATCAATCTCTAGTATGAGGAAATATGCTATTGAACTAACTCACTTGAATTCATTATTCTTTTACTCTTTTTTTGTATTTCAATGGAAATCTCTTCACATTACTCATATAATAAGAGATAATTGAATGATCTTTCTTGTATTTAACTTGCCTAGAGTAAAAAAAAAAAAAAAACTTATTCATTAACCCTTACTTATCTCATATCCACTAAATAAAAGCATCCTGGTGGAAGATGCTTCCATTTATTATAACTAAGAAAATTTTACTACAACTCATGAGACCCAACTGTGTTTATACTAAAGTATTAAAATATTAAGGCTTCTACTAAAGCAAACTTTTAAATAGGGCTGATTTGATAGCTTGAAATAATTGAAGACCTTAATCTGGGTTCATTTATTTAGGCCTTTATTCACAGAATGCTTATAAGGATCTACTAAGGACAGGTTACTAGAGAAAAATATGGAGGATGTAAACATAAATAAGTCTTGTTTCTTTGTATAATAGGTAAGTAATATAAAAAGAAATTTAAAATATGTACACAGAGAAGAAGCTGGAGGTTATTACAGCAGGAAAAACAATATTTTGTGAGATGACAAGGTATTTTAAATACAATGGAAGATTAGAAAGGATTTCCAAAAGTAAAAGTAAAGATCCATGTACATTAGAAAAAAAATCACACACATAAGATTAAGCATATAGACATGAATAATTAAGGTGTGTATAGAAAATGACATAGAGGACATAGGCTACAGGAAGAAAAGGCTAGGTTTGTTAGATTTTCATGTACACATTGCAGAGTCTTCATTAACTAGCATTTGTCTAAATAGGAATTTTGTTTATTTTAAATCAAGTTCAGTCAACATGTTTTCAATACTGATATTTAAAATTTTCTTCAATTCTTGAAAAATTATAAGCTTTATCTCTGAATATTTTCTTTCCCCGGTTATCTATGGTTGTGTCTCCTGAAATTCTTCTTAGACAAAATGGAAACTTCTCAATTTGTTCTTCCAATCTTTCGACTTTCAGTACTTGTCATATGTTTATCTCTGTTGTATTCTGTGGTGCATCCTCATTTCTAAATTCTAGTAATCAATATTCTCTTCAGAATTGTCTATTAGACTATTATTTATTTTATATGCTATCTTTTTTCAGACCTCTTGTTTTTATTTCTGAGATTTTCAAGAAAATATATTCTGTCCATTTTGTTTTTCTGCTGTTTGACTAGGAGCTCTCACTGCTGTTTGAAATAAACTGTAAGTTTTCTCTAGAGTGCTACTATTCCTATATGGCCATTTCAAATCCTCTAAAAGTCACCCGGTTTGTTAAGGTCATGCAAATTATTGTACTGTCTTCTGATTTGACACCAAACATCTTCCACATTAGTTCTCTTCATACATTGATGAACAATGTTCTTTGGTTCAATTTATGAGAAACATAACATATAATAAGTTTGTTATATTGTTATTCATTATATCTCTATCATATTGAGGCAGACATTTTGATAGGTATCATGCACATATGTTTTTATCAACTTTATGCAGAAAAGTAAATCAGAAAAAAATTTAGACATGTAACAGACATATTTTAGTCTGCAGAAATATTAAATAATCATATGTTAGACATTGAACTCACAAGCAGAGTTTAAAGAAAATGACATTCTATCAAATTTGCTTCAGTACAATCATATTCAGTTACTCATGGTGTTGTGCCATCTACCCTCTGCTCTGAAAAACAAGCCCTTAGAAGGTCATTGCAACCTTAAGTGATGTTTATTTTCTTCAGATTATGCTGTAACTTGACAGGAGTCATAAGAAGGCCACACTGTAAATGATGTATCTTGGTTACCAATGTCCTTTTCTGCCAGTACTCAGCTCTTGTCAAAGCTCTTAGGCAGGATGATGCATTCTTACTCTACTAAGTGATAATCTGAAATGCTACCCATAGTGCTACCAAAGTCCTAGAATTGTCTTTTTTTTAGATTATCTTGAAACACACACATACACACACATAGACACACATTTAAAGTCTTCTTTCTTACAGTTTTGGTAATATGGTATATACACATACATAAACACAAATAAAATTTAAGAAATTTTAATCTCATAACAATTTTGGGGGAGTGGAAGAGTTTCTCTGTGTGTTTTCTTGTTTTTAATTATGCAAATTCAACTTGTAAGTACATCAGAAGGTAGCTGGGTACTATCTTTTCTCCATAAAAATTAACATATAGCAAAAAAATTGTGCATGTTTAAGATATTTTTTCTTGTTCATGGGAAACATTTAGAAACACTAAAATCTATAAGTCTATGTCAATGTGTCAGGTTCATCATCTGTCTTTATTCTTGGTGTATGTATATCGAACTAATTATTCACAGACTTTAACATTTATGAGCACAGACATTAAAAAGCAAAATGGATTCACTGATTTTTTGAAGGGGTTTTCCTGTCTCTATCTCCTTCAGTTCTGCTCTGATTTTAGTTATTTCTTGTCTTCTGCTAGCTTTTGAATTTGTTTGCTCTTGCTTCTTTAGTTCTTTTAATTGTGATGTTAGGTTGTCGATTTTAGATCTTTCCTGCTTTCTCCTGTGGGCATTTAGTGCTAAAAATTTCCCTCTACACACTGCTTTAGCTTTGTCCCAGAGATTCTGGTACGTTGTGTCTTTGTTCTCTTTGGTTTCAAATAACTTATTTATTTCTGCCTTAATTTTGTAAATGATGATTATTGAAAAAATTCTTGACTGGGTGTGGTGGCTCATGCCTGTAATCCCAGCACTATGAGAGGCCCAGAAGGGCGGATCACGAGGACAGGAGATCCAGACCATCCTGGCTAACACGGTGAAACCCCGTCTGTACTAAAAACACAAAAAAATTAGCCGGGCGTGGTGGCATGCGCCTGTAGTCCCGGCTACTTGGGAGGCTGAGGCAGGAGAATGGCATGAACCCGGGAGGCAGAGCTTGCAGAGAGCCGAGATCGCGTCACTGCCCTCCAGCCTGGACAGTAGAGCGAGACTCCGTCTTAAAAAAAAAAAAAAATTCTTACCACAAAAGCCCTTAGCTTTTAGGTTGACAAGACACATCTTTGGGCAGTCTGTTCATCTTATGAAAGTTGAGAATTCGTAATTCAGCATCCCAAGCTTTCATAATGTCTTCGGCTTTGAGAATGTGAAAACTTTTTCATGGCAGTAACACTCTCATTCATTTTGTATGCCCAGAACAGAGCTGGGTAAAATTGGTGCCATAATAAATGCTATTTGATGACTTGAACAAGAAAAATAAACCTCCAGTTTATTCCATTATCCAAACATAATAAAAGGTATTCCATGCTAATATGTTATCTTAAGAAATAGGTAAAAGAGAATGTCTGTCATTTAAGAAGGAATTAACCGCCCAGTAATAAAGTTAATTGGCACTGAACATATTACAAGGTGAGTTTTTCAGAAGGAATAATTAACTTATAAAAAGCTTGCAGACATTTTAAAAGAACACACCACAAAACTCACATGTCACATGATTATTAAAAATTAATAATAACGTTTTATATACAAATGAGACTATAAGGAGTTTTAGATATCTTCTAGTCATATATCAAGCCCCTGGAAGATCTATCTTTAATTTGATCTGGCACATAAATTGAACATTGCTAAGAGGCCAAATTATACCTTGGTAAAGATGGAAATAGTTATGAACAATAATAATGATTGCACTTTAGGTTTATATAGCAATATATGCCATCTAATATCTTTTAATACATATAGCTGTAGAATATAATGCAAAAATTTCATAATATCAAAATTTGGACCCAGCCTTATCTCCCATTTGTTCACATATGCAGCTTACATCCCTGCCATACCGAATATCTTCTCCTGGAAATGCTAGAAACACTCAATACCCAAATTAATCCATGAATCAAAAATCAGATCTATGTTTGTAAAGAGTATTATCTGTGCAACTGAATATCATTTATTAATATAAGCAGTGATCTTCAGTTTGAAGTAGACATATTTGCATTGATTTTGCAATTACAGAAATGAAAGCAAGGACCATTGAAATAAACAAAATTTTACATTAGCATATGTTCTAACGTAGCGCAAGGTATTTCTTTACCAAGGAGAATATAATGATGACAAACGGGCATGTAAAAAATGTTTAATATCACTAGCAACCAGAGAAATGTTAAATAATTAACCATCAGGGGAAACAGTAAAAGGAAAACGAAAAATCATTACATATCCATCAGAATGACTATATACATATATATAGTATATATACATACATATTATATGTATATATGTGTATATACATGTGTATATATGTGTATATACATGTATATATAAAGATATACCTATGTACACCTGTATATATGTATACACAGATATATACACATATATACAAATGCATATATACATATACACACATATGCCCATGTATACATATATACACCTGTATATATACACATGTATACACTTGTATATGTGTGTAGATATATATATGTACATGTGTATATACATATGTACATATGCATGTATGTATATATACATACACATGTGTATGTATACACAGATATACACATATCTACATATTTGTGTGTGTATGTATACATATGTGTGTATGTATATACATATACATACATATACACATGTTGGCTAAGGGCAATGAAATTGGATCACTCTCCGGCTTTGTGTCATAATCGTATTCAGAGAGACCTTGATCACTTTTTGATTCCACAAGATATCACACTGGTCCATTACACTGATGACATTATGCTGATTGGATTCAGTGAGCAAGAAGCAGTAAACACGCTGGACTTATTGGTGAGCTATTTGTCTGCGAGAGGAAGGGGAATAAATCTGACTAAAGTTCAGGGAACTTCTACCTAAGTAAAATCTCTAGGGGTCCAGTGGCTTGGGGCCTGTTGAGGTATTCCTTATAAGGTGAAGGATAAGTTGCTGAATTTGGCCCCTCCTACAACAAGGAAAGAAGCAGAACGCCTGGTGGGTCTATTTGTATTTTGGAGGCAACACATTCCTCATTTGGGTGTGTTACTTTGGCCCATTTATCGAGTGACCTGAAAGGCTGTCAGATTTGAGTGGGGTCCAGAACAGGAGAAGGCTCAGCAACAGGTCCAGGCTGCTATGCAAGCTGCTCTGCCACTTGGGCCATATAACCCAGTAGATCAATGGTGCTCGAGGTGTCAGTGGCAAACGGGTATGCTGTTTGGAGCCTTTGGCAGCCCCCATAGGTGAATCACAGCAGACGCCTCTAAAGTTTTGGAACAAGGCCCTGCCATCTTTTTCAGATAACTACCCTCCTTTTGAGAGAGAGCTCTTGGCCTGTTACTGGGCTTTGGTGGCAACTGAATGTTTGACCATAGGTCATCAAGTCACCATGTGACCTGAATTGCCTATCATGAACTGGGTGCTTTCTGACCCATTAGCCATAAAGTGGCTCATACACAGCAGCATTCCATCATCAAATGGATGTGGTATATACGTGATCGGGCTCGAGTAGGTCCTGAAGTCACAAGTAAGTTACATGTGGAAGTGGCTCAAATGCATTTAGTCTCCACTCCTGCCACCCTGCCTTCTCTCCTCCAGCTTGCACCAATGATCTCATGGTGAGTTCCCTATGATCAGTTGACAGAGGAAGAGAAGACTAGGGCCTGGTTCACACATGGTTCTGCATGATAGGCTGGCACCACTCATAAGTAGACAGCTGCAGCACTACAGCCCCTTTCTAGGACATCCCTGAAGGACAGCAGTGAAGGGAAATCTTCCCAGTGGGCAGAAATTCAAGTAGAGCACCTGTTTGTGCACTTCATATGGAGGGATAAATGGCCAGATTTGTGATTATATACTGATTCATGGGCTCTAGCAGATGATTTGGCTGGATGGTCAGGGACTTGGAAGAAGCATGATTATAAAACTGGTGACGAAGAAATTTGGGGAAGAGGTATGTGGATGGACCTCTCCGAGTGGTCAAAAACTGTTAAGATATTTGTATCCCATGTGAGTGCTCACCAACAGGTGAATGTGGCAGAGGAGGATTTTAATAATCAAGTGGATAGGATGACCCTTTCTGTGGACACCACTCACCCTCTTTCCCCAGTCAACCCTATCATTGCCCAATGAGCCCATGAACAAAGTGGCCATGGTGGCAGGGATGGAGGTTATGCATGGGCTTAGCAACATGGACTTCCACTCACCAAGGCTGACCTGGCTGCGGCCACTGCTGAGTGCCCAATTTGCCAGCAGCAGAGACAGACCAACACTGAGCACTCGATATGATACCATTCCTTGGGGTGATCAGCCAGCTACCTGGTGGCAGATTGATTATATTGGACCTCTTCCATCATGGAAATGGCAGAGGTTTGTCCTCACTGGAATAGACACTTACTCTAGATATGGGTTTGCCTATTCCGCACACAATGCTTCTGCCAAGACTACCATCCATAGACTCATGGGAATGCCTTATCTACCGTCATGCTATTCTACACAGCATTGCCTCTGACCAAGGCACTTACTTTACAGCTAAAGAAGTGCGGCAGTGGGCTCATGCTCATAGAATTTACTGGTCTTACCATGTTTCCCATCATCCTGAAGCAGCTGGATTGATAGAATGGTAGTATGGCCTTTTGAAGTCACAATTACAATGCCAATTAGGTGACAATACTTTGCAGGGCTGGAGCAAAGTTCTCCAGAAGGCTGTGTATGCTCTGAATCAGCATCCAATATATGGTACTGTTTCTCCCAAAGCCAGGTTTCATGGGTCCAGAAATGAAGGGGTAGAAGTGGAAGTGGTACCACTCACCATCACCCCTAGTGATCCACTAGCAAAATTTTTGCTTCCTGTTCCTGTGACATTACGTTGTGCTGGCTTAGAGGTCTTAGTTCGAGAGGGAGGAAGGCTGCCACCAGGAGACACAACAACAATTCCATTAAACTGGAAGTTAAGGTTGCCACTTGGACACTTTGGGTTACTCCTACCTGTAAGTCAACAGGCTAAGAAGAGAGCTACAGTGTTGGCCGGGGTGATTGACCTGGACAATCAAGATGAAATCAGGCTGCTACTCCATAATGGAAGTAAGGAGGAGTATGCATAGAATACAGAAGATCCATTAGGGCATCTCTTAGTATTACCAAGCCCTGTGATTAAGGTCAATGGAAAACTACAACAGCCCAATACAGGCAGGACTACAAATGGTCCAGACTCCTCAGGAATGAAGGTTTGGGTCACTCCACCAGGTAAAAAAACCATGACCTGCTGAGGTGGTTGCTGAAGGCAAAGGCAACACAGAATGGGTAGTAGAAGAAGGTAGCCATCAATACCAGCTACGACCACGTGACCAGCTGCAGAAACCAGGACTGTAACTGTCATGAGTATTTCCTCCTTCTTTTGTTGTGCATGTATACATTTGTACTAAGAAAATATCTTCAGTTTATTTCATTTTCCTTTATCATGTGACATAAGATTTATTGACTTCATATCAGCATTTAAGTGTTGTTACCTTTATATAATAGTATTTGGGTTGGGGATTGGTGCATTTCCAGTTGTATGAAGGACAGTTGTACTATGTTAGCTGTAATTATGATCTTATCATTGTCTTTATTTGAGGATTACGTATGATCTCAGGTGATGTGTATGGGTTCAAGTTGACAAGGGGTGGACTTGTGATGGTTAATACTGAGTGTCAACTTGACTGGATTAAAGGATGGAAAGTATTGATTCTGATATATTTGCTACCACATTTATGGTAAAGAATTTTTTCAGAATATATAAAGAAAAATCCTAACAAATACTGAGAAATCAGATAGCCATTTAATAAGTAAGCAAAATATTTGAAATGAGACTTCACCAAATAAGATATACAGTTGGAAAATAAGCTCATACAAAGATTGTCAACATCATCTCTTATTAGGAAATTTAAATTAAAAATACAATATGATATCACTACATATTTATTTTAATGGCTGAAATCCCCAAAACTGATAATACTAAATGCTAGCATGGATATAAGTCAACAGGAATGCTCTTAATTGCTAACGCAAATGGAAAATGGAACAGCCATTTTGGAAGAAAACTTGGCAGTTTCATATAAAATTAAACTTGTGCTTTCAATAACTCAGCAATCTCACTCTTAGATATTTAGTAAGGTGGATTAATAACATGTTTACGCAAAATTCTGTATATGAATTTCATTCATATGTTAATTGGTAGCAGTGACAAAGTACTTCAACATTGGTTTATGGTGCATCCCCGAAATGGAATATTACTAAACACCAGAAATAAATATTGATACAAACACTAAGTTAGGTGGATCTCAAAGACATTTTGCTTATTGAAAGAAGCTAGTTTTAAAGTTTGCATACTGTATGATTCAAATTATTGTTATTACTGAACAAACAAAATAATAACATATGGATTCAAACACAACATGGAAGGATTTTAAAATTCAGTTTGTTTTGTGAAAAAAAGCCAAACCCCCAAAGCTTTATATTGTATGATCCAATATATATAATATTCTGGAAAAAGCAACACCGTAGGGATAGAAACCAGTTCAGTGTTGTCAAGGATTGGGAAGAAGGCAAGAGTTGGCTTCAAAGTGGCCACATATAAGCCTTTTAGAATGATGAAGCTGTTTTTCATAGTATTAAGTTGGTGGATGCATGAGTTTATAAATGTTGCAGTCCCATTAAATTGTAGATGACAATATGTAAAATGTAATACATACAAAATTAAACCCAGAATGTATGAAGATCACAAGATGGAATGCTGAGCACACTAAACAAATTAAACTGTATCAAAAACTTATTACAGGTATATTCTTATCTCTTTCAGTTATTGATGTCACAAAACTATATCTTTATATATTGTACATCCCAAACATAAATAATTGTTTTCTTTAAATGCATTAGTTTTTTAAATCAAATCAAATAAAAGTAGAGTTACAAACTGTTGTTACAATAATACTAGCTTTCATAAGTGCCCATATATTTACCTTTACTGAAATTGTTATTTCCTCATACAACTTTGAGTTACTGTCTAGTGTCCTTTTACTTCAATGTGAAGATCTTCTTTTAGCATTGTTTGCAGAGCAGTTCTAGTGGTAAGGAACTTCCTGAACTTTGTTTGTTAGGGAATGTCTTTGTATGTTATAAAAGTTAAGTTAGTATAAAGTCAAATAGGAGTGTAATAACTTTAGAATGTTGAATGTAATTCTCATAGTAAGCACAAGAAAATAGTTTTAGAATATACACAAAAGAAAATGAGATGGAAATTAAAATATTTCATTACAAAAAAATCAACTAAACATAAAAGAGTAATGCAGGAAATGAGGGGTAAAAAGGTACAAGGCATATAGAAAACATATGTAAAATGACAGAATTAAGCTTCTTCTTGTCAGTAATTACTTTAAACATGAATGGATTAAGCCATCCAATCAAAAGACAAAGATTGACAGAATGGAATAAAAAAATTATCAAACTATATTTGTTCTACAAAAGACTAATTAGAGATCCAAAGATGCAAAATAGGTCAAAAATGAAAGGATGGAAAAAGCTATTTGTATTAGTCCATTCTCACTCTGCTAATAAAAACATACCCGAGACTGGGTAATTTTTAAAGGAAAGAGGTTTAATTGACTCACAGTTATGCAGGGCTAGAGAGTCCTCAGGAAACTTATAATCATGGCATAATGGGAAGCAAAAATGTCCTGCTTCACATGGCAGCGGGCAAGAGAAGTGCAGACCAAAAAGGGAAAAGCTCCTTATAAAACCATCAGATCTCATGAGTACTCACTATCATGAGAACAGCAGCATGGGGATAACCACGCCCATGATTCAATTATTTCACACTGGGCCCCTCCCACAACACCTGGGTATTATGGGAACTAAATTCAACATGAGATTTGGGTGGGGACACAGCCAAACCATATCACTGTTCCATGCAAATAGTAACTAAAATAGAGCAGCAGTAACTATACTTATTTTAGGCAAAATAGATTTTAAATAAAAAAAGAGACTACAGATATCATATATTTAAAAAGCTTCAATACAACAAGAAGACAGAACAATTATAAATATTCATGCACCTAATAACAGACTTCCAAATTATATCAAAGTAAAAATTTACATTTGAATGGAAAGATAGTTCTATAATAGTAGTTGGAGACTTGACTATCCCATTTTCAATAATGAATAGAACAGACAGAAGGTAAGTTAAGAAATAGAGGACTTGGCTGGGCATGGTGGCTCATGCCTGTAATCCCAGCTTTTTTGGAGGCCGAGGTGGGCTGATCACCTAAGGTCAGGGGTTGGAGACCAGCCTGGCCAATAAAGTAAAACCCTGTCTCTACTAAAAATACAAAAATTAACTGGGTGTGGTGGCAGGCGCCTGTAATCCCAGCTACCTGGGAGGCTGAGGTAGGAGAATTGCTTGAACCCAGGATGTGGAGGTTGCAGTTAGCTGAGATTGCACCATTGCACTCCAGCCTGGGCGACAAGAATGGAACTCCATCTCAAAAAAAAAAAAAAAAAAAAAAAAAAAAAGAAAGAAATAGAGGACTTGAACAACACAAGAAGCCAACTAGATCTAATGCACATACAACAACCCAACAACCCAACAACAGAATTATGCATTCTTTTCAAGTGCACGAGACATTTTCCAGGATAGACCATATGTTAGGCCACAAGTTATGTCTCAATAGATTTAAAAGATACATGTCATAGAAACTATCAGCAGAGTAAACAGACAACCTACAAAATGGGAGAAAATATTTGCAAACTATACATCCAACAAAGGTCTAATATCCAGAATCTATAAAAACTTAAATTCACAAGCAAAAACCAAAACAAACAAAACATTGAAAAGTGGTTACATGACATGAATAGACACTTTTCAAAAGAAGACATACATGCAACTGATAAGCGTGTGAAGAAAAGTTCAACATCACTAATCGTTGGAGAAATACAAATCAAAATCAACAATGAGATAGCATCTTACACTAGTCAGAATGACTATACTTAAAAAGTCAAATAATACCAGATGCTGGAAAGGTTGCAGAGAAAAGAGAATACTTATACACTGCTGGTGGGAGTGTAAATTAGTTAAGTCATTGTGGAAAGCAGTTTGGTGATTTCTCAAAGAACTTAAAATAGAATTACCATTCAAAAAAAAAAAAAGAATTACCATTCAATCCAGTAATCTCATTATTGGATATATACCCAAAGGAATATGAATTATTCTATCATAAAGACACATGCACACTTAAGTTCATCTGATTTTAGTAATTTGAGTCTTCTATTTTTCTTTCTTAATCTAGATAATGGTTTGCCAATTTTCTTAACCATTTTGAGGAACCAACCTCCAGCTTTTCTGCTGAGATCATGAACAAGATATAGATCTCTAATCAGAGCCATATGAATTCTGCTAAAATTGAAGCCCAATGTTATGGTTTGAATGTCTCCTTCATAACTCAAGTAGAAATTTAATTCACATTGTGGCAGTATTAAGAGGCGGGACCTTTAACGGGTGATTAGGTTGTGAGGAGTCTGCCCTTACGAATGGATTAATGCCCTTATCATGAGAAGGAGTTAGTTATTGGTGAATGGGCTTCTGATTAAAAAAATAATAATTTGGCCCAATTTCCCCTCTCTATCTCACATGTTTGCTTGCCCTTTGACTTTCACCATGGGAAAATGCAGCATAAAGGTCCTCCCAAGATGCAGCCCTTTATCTTGGACTTCTCAGCCAAATAACTTCTTTTCTTTATAAATTACCTAGTGAGTGGCACCAGTGGCACAATCAGTTAGCACACATACTTATAAGGTAAATTACCTAGTGTATGGTATTCTGTTATAGCAGCAGAAAATAAACTAAGACATCTACTTTTACCACCACTATTCAACATAGTACTGTACTGGAAATCTTGGCCAGAGTATTTAGGGAAGAAAAACAAATAAAAGACATACAGATTGGAAGGGACAATATAAATTATCTCTGTTTGCAGATGATGTGATCTTATATGGAGAGAAGAGCAAAGATTACAAACACACACATGCGTACATACGTTACAGCTAATAAATTCAGCAAGGCAGTAGGATTCAAAGATAACAAATAAAAATTGGTTTTATTTCTGTACAGTAACAATAAGAAACCAGGAATGAAAATTAAGTAAGCAATCCAATTTGCAATAGCACCAAAATGAATAGAATAATTTTGAATAAATCTAACCAAGGAGATGTGAGACTTGTGAACTGAAAACTATAAAACATTGATGAAATTAAATAAAAAGTGAACAGTTTTACAGTTAGAAAACATATTATTATAAAAATTACTCAGAGAGAGATTATATTTTGTTTCTGGAGTATTTTAACAGAGTTTACTAAAGTTAATAACTTATTTAGAAAAAATATACATTACATATTCTGTAATACATAAAATTTAGGAGGGATTTACTTCTTGCTTTTTCTATACTTTTGCAGCTTTATTTGTTATATGTCTCTTCTATGTAGTGCAATTGCGTGTGTGTGTGTGTGTGTGTGTGTGTATGTAATGGTGGCATATGTAGTTTTTAGGTAACCACATCACTTTTACTGACTTAAGGAAATGTGACTCTTGAAGTGAAAAATTTTGTATCCCAAATTCTCTAGCATAGCAATACATAATATAAGGTAACTTTTATAAGATTTAAAAAACTTGCTCTCTTAGCGAAGCTTCTTAGAAATAATACCTTATTGTGCTTTGGAGTTTGTGGTACATGAGGGATATTCAAAAAGTCATGGACAATGCATATTTTGGTAAACCTATGTACACATAGATATCAAAAAGTTTTGTGCCAAAATAAACTCATACCAACTCATTATAACATGTCTGAATAGAATCTAGTTTAAGGAACTAAGAATAAGACATCAGTTTGAAAAGGGCTCCAATCAGAGCCATATGAATTCTGCTAAAATTGAAGCAAGAACAAACATCAAATAACAGAATGAAACTTCAGTGGAAGAGCAGTAAAGTCATTAATGGTTTGCAAAGTTTGTGAAGACAATGCTTCCAAAGAAATCAGCAGTTTACAAGTGGATAACTCATTTTAAGAAGAGATGGGATGTCGTTAAAGATGAAGCCTTCAGCCACAGACAATTCACAGCAATTTGCAAGGAAAAAATTAATCTTGTCCATGCCCTAATTGAAAAGGACCAATGATTAACAGCATAAACAATAACTAGCATCATATCTCAATTGGTTTAGCTTACACAAGTCTAAATGAAAAATTAAAGTTGAGCAATTTTATTTTACTCAATGGGTGTCAAAAACATTGCTTCCCTAACAGCTGAAAATAAGAGCAGAGCTTTCAATAAAAATTTTAAAATAGTGGGATCAAGATCCGGAAGCTCAGTTAAGCTAGTGGCCATCTAATTATTGGACAGATATTTCCTTGAATGTCTTGAACCACTACGTCTTTTACACTTTGCAGAGGGGCTCAGTGTGTGGTTTGGGGCATGTCTTCAATGCTTAGACATTTTATAAATCTGCCTTAGCCTTTACTGCCTGCTTGCACTGGACCTCAAGGTCAACCAGAGGTGAGATATTGTTGTCTGTTTAGTTCTTCTGTGGACTGCACACAGTCCTATACATGCACACAGCCTTCCTGATCCCCAAGAATATGTCAGATTTTTTCACAACCCCTTGGGTGTCTTATTTCCATACTGTAATGGATTGAGTATCATCTTCCCAAAATTCATGTCATCTGGAACCTTAGAATGTGACCTTATTTGGAAATAGAATACTTGTAGATGTAATTAGTTAATTTAAAATGAAAGGGCAGGGCGTGGTGGCTCACACCTGTAATCCCAGCACTTTGAGAGACTGAGGCGTTTGGATCACCTGAGGTCAGGAGTTCCAGACCAGCCTGACCAACATGGTGAAACTGTCTCTACTAAAAAAACAAAAATTAGCTGGACGTGGTGGCAGGCACCTGTAATCCCAGCTGCTCGGGAGGCTGAGGCAGGAAAATCGCTAGAATCCGGGAGGCAGAGGTTGCAGTGAGCCGAGATCGTGCCATTGCACTCCAGCCTTGGGGAAAGAGTGAGATTCTGTCAAAAAAAAAAAAAAAAAAAAAGGGACTCTATGGGATTACGGTGGACTCTAAATTTAATGTTTGTTGTTGTTATAAGAAGTCCATGTGAGACACAGACACATAGAGAAGAAAAACAATCATGTGATGAAGATAGAGACAGAAACTGCAGTGAAGTCTCAAGCCAAGGAACGCCAGGGAATGTTAGCAATGACCAGAAGCTAAAAGAGGCAAGAGAAGATTCCTCTCTATTTCTTAAGAGGGAGCATAGCCCAGCCAGCAATTTGATTTAGGACTTCTTGCCTCCAAAACTGTAATAGAGTAAATTTTTGTTATTTCAAGCTACAAAATTTGTGATACTTTGTTGCAACAGTCCTAGGAAACTATTACACAGGTTTTCCTTTTCTGTTTTTGATCAAGCTTTTCTTTGTTTCAGCTGATATTGCAGCCTTAATAAACTTGTAGCTAATTATTTTTGAAAATCTCTCTGGGCATAGGCCTTTATCTAACAAATGAGTTCCATGTCAATCAAAAAACAACATCACTCTGAGAATGAGACTTTTCTAGTAAGCTACCAAGTACATCAAATAGTGACACTACAACTGGGATGGGGCTTTCATGAGGAATTCCACCTACAGTCGGCCTTCTCTGATGGCTGCAAGGCTGCTGGTTTTCACATGTACTATAATGTGAAGCGGCTGCTTTGCAAGTCTACTTGGAGCTGGAGGAAGCAGGGGGCGGTTGGAGTAGGCTGAGTTAAAATTCTACAAAGCCCACTGTTCTTACCAAAGTTCAGCAATTTTTTCTTCACTTCACATTATTCTTTTTTAAAAAATTCTTTTGCAAATCTTTTTCTAATTACCATTCTAAAAATTCAATTTCGGGCTAGGCGCGGTGGCTCATGCCTGTAATCCCAGCACTTTGGGAGGTCAAGGTGGGCAGATCACCAGAGGTCAGGAGTTTGAGACCAGCCTGGCCAACATGGCAAAAGCCCGTCTCTACTAAAAATACAAAATTTATCCAGGTGTAGAGGAGGGCACCTGTAATCCCAGCTACTCGGGAGGCTAAGGCAGGAGAATTGCTTGAACCCGGGAGGCGGACGTTGAGGTGAGCTAAGATATTGCCATTGCACTCCAGCTGGGCGACAAGAGTAAAATTCCATCTCAAAAAAATAAAAATATAAAAAGTCAATTTTGATCATTTTTGCCAGTATTTTCATTGCTTTTATAAAGGAAAAGTTTACAGATATCCTCATTTCACCATTGTATCAGTCCTCTTCAATTCTCCTTAATTCTAGCAACTGTGTACCTGTTTAAGACAGAGAATTATTAGGTTGTGCAGCGTTTTACATTTTGCAATTTTGTTGGAAGGTGTGATGGTTAATCTTACATCCAAACTTGGCTGGGTCATGGTGCCCAGATATTTGTTCAAGCATTGTTCTGAATGTTTTTGTGAGATTGACAGTTAAAGCAGTGGACTGTGAGTAAAGTAAATTGCCCTACATATTGTACATGGGCCTCATCCAATCAGTTGAAAGCCTTAATGTACAAAAGAACTGACCTCCCCTGAACAAGAAAAAATTATACTATTCTGACAACTTGCAGACTTGAACTGCTACATTGACTCTTCCTTGGGACTCCAGGCTGATGGCTCACACTGCTGATTTGGGGCTTGTCAGATACCATAACTATATGACCCAATTCCATAAAGATAAATTTATTTCTATATATAAACACAGCCCATTGGTTGTGTGTCTGTGGAGAACCTGACCAACATAGAGGTAAACCAAGGGTTTCAGGAACTCGATGAAAAGTGGAACACCACAGCTTTTTGCCATTGCTCTACTCTAACAGGGTAAGTGGTGCTGAGACCCAGCGCACCTGGAATCCTGTAGGTCCATTACATTCAAGGGATAAAATAAACGTGATACATTAGGATGCTGGCTTTTCCTAGTTCATAGATAAAGCTGTTCAAATTGACCATCCTTCTTACTGTTTATTTCCTTAAACATAAAAAAGATTATGTATATACAGCCCTTAAAAATAAGCAAAACACAAAGAATAAAAGACAAATCTTGAAAGAAATCATGATAATTTAAGTTTTTAATAGAGAAATAATCTTCTTTTACGTTGATAACCCTCTTCATTTTCCTGGTCATTTAAAGGTAAATGCATACCTTATAAGACAAAGAAAAAAATGACAATTAGTTTCTATTAATTTTCAAAATAGTTTAAGAACCACTTTAGCAAACTCCAAATATAATGAAGCTTTAAGAGCACAGTTAGCCTTTTATTTCCTAAGGTTGATATCTTTTCAGAAATTACTCAATAGTTATTTGTTATGTGTACTCATTAGTCCTATTAAGCTGTTCTAATTTGAATTTGATAATGGTTGTTTGAATAAACCTCAACAGAAAAGATGTAGATATTTTAAAAAGTAAAACAAATTGTCTTTTTCTTTTCCCTTGTTCTTTATTTCCCTCATTCTTACATTCATACTTTTTATAAAAAGTTCTACAATTTACCTACCAGGTCAAATACTTAATTTCTTCATACCAATTGAAGAAAAATTTATAAATTTCAGGTCATTCATTGTATATGAAGGCAATTATATATTATGGTTGCTTTTCCCCACTTGGTGTCCTGGGAATATAGTTCAATAGAGTTTTGGAAAATTCTTGTGACTCTTCCTGGCAATCATTTCTCATGACGTTTTGTATTTGCTGACTTAATTTTCTCATTGTTTTCACTGAGTTTATGGCTTTGGCTGCTGTGATGAGAGGAAAAGAAGTAGGCAAAAACTCAAAAACAGATTTTATAAAGGTTAAAGGAGTCCAGCATTCATCTCAACTTCCAGTAATGTGCTGTACTCTTATCAGGCATACTAATTCAGAAATATTCACCCCAGTGCCAGAAATTTAAAATGAATATATTATCATGAATATTCATGATTGTATTGAGAATGGAATATTGTGCAATGTAAAACTTTTGGAAAATTGTACTTACATGGCCCTCCTTAGGTGTCATTACTTGACAGGCAAAATTTGAATGTTTTATCATTTATTTAAAAAAGGTTTATCCAGTGAGTTTAGGAGAATGTAGATGATTTGATGTTCAACTGGTTCTGTGACTTACAAGATATGGTTTTCTCTCAATTTAACCTTTCGGAATGAAATCAAAACATACTTTTATATGGAGAGACAATATGTACCTGACAACTTTATAAATGAAATTAAGTAGTCCATTTTGCTTCATTCTTCAGTATTTGCTTTAGGATAGGACATGTAAGAAAACTCTTGTGGTAAAGTAAAATTAAATCACAGCTCTTCAGTAGTTTGAAAGAGGTAGAGAAGATATTTTCTTTTTCCTCCTAGATAAATACTTTTTTTAAGCCAATGGTTCTCAATTATGTATATCCAAAGTAATATCTTTGAGTAATAGGAGGGCTAACAGGAAAGGAATTCTAGAAATTATACTATTAATATTTATTTGCTTCCATTTAGCTCATCCTTGTTGTTTGAAGACAATTGTTTATTCACTCACTATGTGGCATAGAATTCGCATATCTCATATGTCAAGGAATAAGAAAAAATATATGTCTTGTTTCACAAGGCCTTTAATACTATTAAACTTAAGAATGAAAAATATTTCTTAATACAGGTACAGAATCAGTTTTCAAAAAAAACCACCAAAATTACCTAAAATAATTTATTCATCATATTCTTCTGTTAAGTAGAAGTTTAGTGGTTAGGCAGCTTTACATGGGGGAATTGCTAAGGCTGCTTATGACATATTACAATTTTTTTCAAAAAAGAAAGAAAAATTCTACAGTTAAATTTTTTTACCTATTAGACAGACAAATTATTAATATAATGGACAAAGACAAACTAAAATGTAGACTTTTCAACTAATATTTTTAAAGTAACTTTTTCAGATATCCAGAATTATGATAACATAGAGAAAATTATACTAGATTGAGCCAATACATTTAAAATAAAAAAGAAGTTGATAATGTATTCTACACTGCTATTGATTATGTAATTTGGAACTCCCAAAAATAAAATTAAATGACATAATTAAATTTGGATATTAAACATGAATTTCTCTGTCTTAAATGTAAAATCAAATAAGCCTCCTATTCTGGAACTATATTTAACTATTAAAATTTTTAATTTTTTTAAGAAGCTGGGTTTCATATGAATATTTATCACACCATTTCTTTCTAGAGCTTCCTTAATCTTTTCACCTTGATTCATGATAAACTCCTCTGTTTAAATTGGTTTACCAAGTCCATTTCCATGATCATTAATTAACTAAATACAAAGTCATACTATAAAGTATTAACCAGAGGCATTTTCATTCTACTATCTGTCCAGGATAAAGGTTTAGTACCTTTAGTTTTGAGATTGATTGTTACGATTAGGTGACATTTGGAAGCTAACAAGAAACTATTTCTCAGCAGCAGCTTCTTTTTGACATTAAGTACCACAAAATATTACATTAACACTTGGGCTAGGAGAATAATAGAAAGTTAATTTACAAAAAGACACTTTTTCTAATAGCTAAAATTCTGATTCTCATTTACACAAGTACTTTTTTTTTTTTTTTTTTTTTTTCAGATGGAGTCTCGCTCTGTCACCAGGCTGGAGTACAGTGGCATGATCTCAGCTCACTGCAACCTCTGTCTCTCTGGTTCAAGTGATTCTCCTGCCTCAACCTCCCAAGTAGCTGGGACTACAGGCATGTGCCACCACGCCCAGTTAATTTTTGTATTTTTAGTAGAGACGGGTTTCACCATGTTGGCCAGGATGGTCTCGATCTCTTGACCTCGGGATCTGCCCGCCTCGGCCTCCCAAAGTGCTGGGATTACAGGCGGAAGCCACTGTGCCCAGCCCACAAGTACATTTTTTTTTTTAACCTGGCTGAGCACCATTAGATTTCCTGAAGAGGTCTATCTATAGCTTTTCTTTATTGATAGATATATTTCAGAAAATCTAGAATCAGGTGTCACTTCCAAGCCTTTGTAGTTTAGTGAAGTAACTAAAAGGACTTAGCATGTTATCTTCTTGATTTTCTTGAAATGCAAACATTTCAGTATCTTTAGTAAAGGAGAACTCCAATAATTATGTCAAGTTTGGAAATTAGAGCTACACTAAAGTATTGCCCTATGTAAATGCACCAATTTCAAATTTTCCTGTGCTAAATTTTTATGTGATGAAATATATAATTGTAGAAACCAGAATTATGACCTGATGTAAGAGAAAAGATTCTTTTGACATTATTAGGTCATATCCAGATAATTACATTGTATATTAATTTTTTGGCTATGGAAACAGCAGTCTCAAATAATAAAGTAATATTCATCACACAGAGGACAAAAGGATGAATTTAATGGTCTTCTGTTTGCTAGTTCTCAAAGAAGTGCTCTAACATACATGGATTTATCCTATTTTTTCTTGTTTTATTCTCACTAATGCCATTCTTTCCATCCACATCCTCTATAGGTTTATATTATTCTCCCGTTTCACACCAATGCCTATCATTTCCTTTCTACAAGCATATCTTTATTCCTATGCTTTCAACCATTTTAACTTCCCTTGGAGATCCTTCTCTAGATTATGTCTCTCCAGACAATGATTACAGCCATATACCGATAAGTCACTATTAATGAAAATGAGTTTAATTATCTATTTATTTTAATTGCTATTTAATAAAATTATCCTTTATTCACTAGCCAACAAGTGCAAACCAGTGATTCAGTGTGGAAAGTTTTAAATGAGTGGTGGGGCCTTGATTTCTCATCTATTTGCAGATTTTACTATTTTCTTCTTTTGTATCTCCTCTTACTTTGATTGTGCAAGCCTGTTGCATCATGCCTATGAAAACTAAACTCCTTAGAGGTTCTTTGGGTCACTTCCAGTCAGATCTCATCATATGTGACCTTTTAAACAGTCACCTCAAAGTTTTGTCATTGTTCCCAGTGTAAAGAACATTGATGTACTAAGGTAGAGGAAAGACACAGAAGAGAGACTGAAAGATGAGTGCATGAAGTGTAGGATAGCAAAAAAAAAAAAAAAAAAAGCAGAGAATGGAAGAAAAAAAAAGGAACTTATATTCTCTATCTGGTGACCAAGAATATAGAGCAACAAAAAATACCAAATAAATGTTAAATAAATAAATATATACATTTTCTTATATTAATTTCTTTCTTACATGTGAACACATGGGTTGTAAAACATCCTGCATTGAACATATCTCTACCACAAGGTATCTTTCATGAGTGTTGGTTAGTTTCTTCATTTATGTAACTAAGGTTAGTATTGAGTGCTTTATACATGCACTGTGCATGTGGGCAGTGCAATTGGACTTTCCATGGTATGCTTTATGATGCTTCTTTGTCCACAGACACTCTCCCAAACACCAGAATTCATCACACTGCTGGGTAATAAAAATAGCATCTCTGAAGAATAAATGAATTCATCTTGATAACTGAATGAAATAGAAACAGCATATGGTTTTTTATATTTTATTTTGTATTATACAGTTGCAACTTAAGTCTATACAATATCATATTTTTTCAAACTCTACTAATGTACTTGGTACTATAGAAAAATGGGTCTTTCTGCCAGGGACTTTGGCTCACGCCTGTAATCCCAGCACTTTGGGAGGTGAGGTGGGCAGATCAGTTGAGGTCAGGAGTTCGAGACCAGCCTGGCCAACATAGTGAAACTTTGTCTCTACTAAACATACCAAACACCAAACACCAAAAAAAAAAAAAAAAAAAAAAAAAACCTAGCAGGGCGTGGTGGCATGTGCTGTGGGCCCAGCTACTGGAGAGGCTGGGGTAGGAGAATTGCTTGAACCTGGGAGGCGGAGGTTATAGTGAGCTGAGATCATGCCACTGCAATCTAGCCTGGGTGACACAGCAAAAGACTCTGTCTCAAAAGATAAAAATTTAAAAAAAAGGGAGAGAAAAAGATAAATGGATCTTTGTTTTAACTTTATCTTAAATTAGGCTGAGCTAAGACATTGACCTCTGATATTTTTGTCACAGAAAGTACATAACTACTGATGCTGAAAATAGGTTACAAAAATGCAATATTTTAGTTAATTAAATCTTGAGGACAATTTAATAACAATATGAAGCAACACACAGTTTTTAAAACTTTAGTTTCTTAATTGCAGCCAAATGTTTTCATATTGTCACAGAGGTTAGTGAAAAGCACTCTTCATTTAAGCAAAACTTGGTAACTAAAATGGAACTTGCTTTAACATAAGATTTAAGCTTATTGATCTCTCTGGCATCCAAAGAAATTTTGAACTGTTTTATTGATGCTCAAAACATAGGATAATATGTGAATTTAGTTTTAATCAAATTTGTTCTATAAATATTACATATCGCAGCATATTTAAAAGTTATTTTAGAATAAATATTGCTATTTGGTTTAGAAATAATCTGCAATAGGCAAAAAATTAATCTGATCAATCTAATAAGAAAAACAGGAAGAATAAAATGCTAGCAAAATAATATACATGGGGCCAGGTGCAGTGGCTCACACTTGTAATCCCAGCACTTTGGGAATCTGAGCCCAGAGCATCACTTGAGGCCAGGGGTTCAAGAGCAGCCTGGCCAATATTGTGGGGCCCTATCTCTTTAAATAAAAACAGTAATAAAAATAATAAAATAATATAAATGTAATTTTTGAACTCTGAATATGCTATTTTAAGTATATATATTGCAATAAAGAAGTGGAAAATCTTTCTAAATATTATAATATCCATCTCCTAAAATTTATCTCAACAAAGTAAACATAAAACCCAGTTAGTGATCTGTTTATCCAAATAACACACTAATCTTTCAGTACAAAAAGTTAGCACAGAATGAGGCAGCATACTTTTTGGTCCAGTGGAAATCATCTATTAATTTAAATAATTTTTATTTATTTTCTCTTACAAAAATCACATTATATTTAATTATTAAAAATTATGCTGTGTCTATATTAAAAGCCTATCTAAGAAACCACATAGACTGCAGTGTTGTAAAACTTATTAAGAACTTTAAAATTACAATCATATCTTGCAAATTTTTAATCCGCTAACATCTTAACAGTTAGATTTTTATTCCACCTCCATTTTATATCTTCTAACTTTAGAGACCATTTTAAGTTGAAGTTAGTGTTAACCACATCCATAGCCTTATAAAGATTTCTGCATTAAAAGTCAATTATATAGTTTAAGAGAAATGCACCTTTCCTTTCTAATAATTCATTTTAAATATAAATTCACTTAAAATTGGAACAAAATTATTTTACCCCTAAATTTTTTTCAAATGCTTGTATCATTACAATGGATCAATATCCAGTGTTTTAAAAATCTAGCAATTTTTTCTTCTTATGAATCTTAATTACAGTTGCGAGATTGTTAATGTAAAGAAAGGACAGACTAATTTATTATGATAAATAGACTATATATGGGTAATATGTTTTGATTCATACAGTTAAAATGCTACATATAAATACTGCAGAGACTTAAAGTTTATATAAAGAGACAAATTCAGGCTTTTAAAAAGTTAGTGAAGCAGGAAAGCTCTATTGTTCACAATTTATGTTTTGGAGCAATTATGGAATGTTATTTGAATAATCATGAGTCAATATATATTTCCCATAAATACAATAGATGTCAACATTTTCTAAACACTGTATTTTAACAGTTAGTTGTTCAAGTTGTGGAACATTTTCCCAAAACATAAAAATTAGGAAGGTTTTACCACCTTTCCATTCCAAGCTTATTTTGGTGCAGTCTTTTTGTTTTGCGTATTATCTGATCAGGTCACAATATAACTCTTAAATGGTTAAAAAAAAGTCTTTATTTTTTATTTATTTCAGATCTAGCCCAATTGTCCAATTGTTATTGATGTAAGAATGATAAAAATACAAAAAAAACTGAGATTGTGTAAATTAAATATCAGATATATATTAGTAAATTCAATAAAAGTTATCTAAAATTCAAATATAATAAACTATCTTAATAATTGTATAAAATGATAGTCTAACTGAATAGTTCTCAGTCACATAATACATCTCTGGGCTCTTGAGTATCTTAATAGATGTTCCTGGGATGCTCATCACCAACCATAATCCCACTCCATGTAAAGCTTTTCTGGATAATCAGATATACAACCACAGAGGAAAATAAGCAAAATCCATATAATAATCAACCTGGTCAATCATTTGCAAATGAACAAATAGTTATATGTATTTATAAGAACATACTATACAACCATTACAACAAAGTGTCAATAGTAACATCGGGTTGACTGAAATGACAGACATAGACACCACTGTGTTACATAAAATAGCTTATACTCACTTAAAGAATTCAGAATAAAGTCAGTGCTATCAGAGTCAACAACATTATCTGATGTGAGGCAAGCTACAAAACTCTCCAGCCCACTGTAGAAGAGCCTGGGGCCACAGAACTGTGAGAACAAAGAAAAAGGAAATTTCCCCTAGAGCAGAACCAAAGGCTGCCTGCTGAAATAATCATGGCACGTATTCCATGTAATAAATGAGGTCTTCTCAGTTCTTACCTAGTTAAGTTTTGGTCAGTGCCATGAAACAAAAACTGCTGAGTTTTTTAATGTTCTTTCTTCTGAATGGGAATTTTTATTGTATATATCCTGTTTCTACTCAACCACTACATTTGGGGGATTATAGAAAGTTAAATTGTCTATTAATTTATGTGTCATTTAAATATCTAAACTCTGGACCTATAGATAGGACTATACATCATATGAAGATATCAGACTTGATTTGGGTCTAGTATTTTGGAGATTAATCTTTAAGCAAATTGTCATCTAGCAGTTTCTTACAATATTCCTTAGCAGATAACTAATGCATTCCTTGTGTCTTGTCTGTTGCCATCTATGCCTTACTCCTTTTCTTTGGACTATAAATACTAGTCTTGGAGCTCAATCTTTCATGAAGGTAAATATAATACCAGGAGTTAGTGGAGTAGAAATATGCAAGACATTTTGTGTCCCTGAGGAATTGGTGGAGCAGAATTTTCATATCAGCCTATTTTCAAACTGTTATGTGAAAGAGAAACTTCTATCAAGCTTAAGCCAATGAAATTTTTCCTCCCATTGCTCACATCTAAACTGAATCTGATAATATTGAACATGTAATTTTAAAAAATTGATAACATTGAACATGAAATATGCTGAAAGAATGTCACAAATATAATAACATCAATACTATGTAGGTAATACAATTGTACCTTGGTATCCACAAGGATTGGTTCCAGAACTCCTGGATTCTAAAATCCTCAGATGCTCAAGTCCTTTATATAATGTATTAGTATTTGCATATAAACTATGTACATCCTCCCATATACTTTAAATCTCTACATTATTTGTAACACCTAATATAAAGTAAATGCTCTTTAAATAGTGGTTATACAGTTTCATTTTTTATTTGTATTATTTTTAATTTTTTTTCAAATATTTTCCATATGGGGTGGTTGACTCCTCCAATATGGAACTAGGATACGCTTTTTCTGAGATTTGAATGGGAGAGAATCTACACAAGTCCTATCTGCCCCATTTAAATTGTAGCTTAGAATAATCTTGTTCTTCTGGTGTTAAAATCTTTTCTGGTTCTGTATTTTTATTTCATAAAATATATTTTCTGTGTATACTCATTTATGCTTCAGGGTTGCTCTGCAACTATAGTTTCGTCACAGTTTATTCCTTGACCTGTTTCTCATCTTCTCTAATCTTCACCTTAAATTATCCAGAAGTTAGGGGCAAAAAAATATGACTAGGTAAAATTGTGCAGCCTCTTCTTTATCCCTGATGCCACTGCCAATCCCCAGTTTTGGAATAGGTCATATATGGAGTGGTTTTCATATCTTCTTTCTCTGATAAGTCCCCAGACTTTATGGTTCATGATAAAGGGATAGGAATAGGTACTTTAGAAATGCATACACTTACATCATATTGTAGTGCAGCCCATTTTGAGTATGGAAATTATTTATCAACTCACAAAATCTTTTTTGTAATCTGATTTTAATTTCTCTATAAATGGAAGTTGTTCCTCAGAATGTATAAGATAATAATGTATCTATTTGCTAGCTTTAACATTAATGAAGTTCATATAGCTCTATTTTTGGTTCCTTTTATTCATTTCACTGAATATCTTAGAAAGAATTTATAAACCTGCATCTACACAAGAATCTACCTTTAAAACTTCCATAAAACTTAAGATTAATGGTAATAACATTTATGTAAGACAAATCTTGGAATAAGTTATCTGCAAATTAATATATGAAAACTAATACATAAAATCTGTGTGAAAACCTTACTCCAACATGTGTTAGATTCTGATATTTGAATAACTTCTTGTGGGAATCACATGGATACCTATTATTGTACGCTGACTTTTTACTAGCAAATCCTCCAACTTAATACACAAGGAAACCATCTAACTCTCAAAAACTAAGAAACATAGATTACAATAGGAGTAGACTTTGAATAATGATGAAAGTTAAACAGTTACAAGGATAAACATCATTTTCCAACTGTTTCTCACATATCAAATTTATCCTCTATAAAACTAACCAAAATTTTTTCTTCTCTGTAGAGAAATACTTGATGACTACAGAGAACTGGGCTTATATGTGACTCCTTTTTAAAACATTTTTAAAACCTTCAATATTATATATAATTAGCACTTGGCTATAATTATTTCTAAACCTGCTATTTGCTAACCTACATGTTCTTCAAATAAATTCTGACAGTTTTGCAGTCACATAAAGTCCATGTGAACTGTATGCAGTATTTTCTTTCTTCCTTTCTTTCTTTATTTTTTTTGAGACAGAGTCTCACTCTGTTGCCCAGGCTTGAGTGCAGTGGCCCTATCTAGGCTCACTGCAACCTCTGCCTCGCGGGTTCAAGCAATTCTCCTGCCTCAGCCTCCTGAGTAGCTGGGACTACAGGTGCCTGCCACCACGCCCAGCTAATTATTGTATTTTTAGTAGAGACGTGGTTTCACCATGTTAGCTAGGCTTGTCTTGAACTCCTGACCTCAGGTGATCTGCCCGCCTCAGCCTCTCAAAGTGCTGGGATTACAGAAGTATATTCATAACAGGCATATTAAATTAATTCAATAAAAACACTTTGATAAATCTGTAATATGTTTGTTTGTTTTTCACATAGCACCACTGTGTTTCAACTCTTTGTGTTGCTAGGTGCAGCATCAAACTCTCATGTATGTGGCTGCCCATTTAAGGTAAAAATGAAGGCTTTTATATTGAGTTTTATAGCCATCACTATCTTTAGAATAATACTATCTCCAAAAGAGCTCCCTGCCCACCAGAATAGTCTCTCTTTTCTGGACTAAAGTTGAATTCATTCAAGAATACATTTAGTGGAAGAATACCACCTTGATTCTGAGCAAAAACATGGAAATAAACATAAAAGGAACGACTAAAGAGAGCAAAAGATAGGTGTTCTTCCTAAGTGACTGCATAAAGCATGGTCACAATAATCTTGAGGACCTTCTATTGGATTTTCCCTGAAAAAAAATATGGTTTTCTGAACTCTAAGTTATTCCAAGAGTGATAAGAAAGATAATGAGATTGTTTGCACCCTTCCTCTGACATCCTAGCAATCTTATTTATGAGAAGTCTGATTACAAAAACAAAGCAAACCATGACAGTTAATCCCAAGGGGAAAATGAATGGATAAGTGTATATAAGGCATCTAGTGAAGTTTTTAATACACCATAAACAAATAACTAAAATAATTATAATAAATGAATTCTTAGAAATTAATGAAGTTTAGTTTAGGGAAATGATGCCCTTCTGTATCATCTATAGATATTGAATTAGTTTTTCCTTTATTCTCTTAAATCACTACTTATCCCAAACGAGTAAGATATAATTTTCAATATCGATTTCCTCATTAAACTACACTTCATGGTTTACAATGTAATGCATAACATAGCCAAAAAGAAAACACCTTTGTTCTCTACATAGACAATTTTAGAAAAGTTATCATAAAACACATGCTATCATCATAAGAACTTGATACTGACTCCCTTGAATTATTTCTACATTGTAAGATTTTTGTGCATATGAAAGTTATTGGTTACATACCACAGGTTAAATGTATTTAATATTTCTTAGAATTTTTGGTTAAAATAAGAGAAATCAACTTGCTTTGTCACTTTCTGTTTTCATTAGAAGAAAAGTATTATATGGCTCCTGCCCCAATTAGGTGATATTCCTGTTTATTATATGTTAAAAGTTGCAGATGAAAATTATTCATGCAGCAACATGTATATTTACCTGTCAGGAGTGCCTCAGGAACCTAAGAAATTATGTGGTACAGATTCATTGTTATCTGTTGCAAAACGTGTCCATTTTTAATTCAGATAAGACTCGTCTGTTAAAACAGTGAAGGCTGACAGTAATTTTCCAAGTGTTTCAGTTTATCTACAAATTTAAAATGAACACTTTTACAGCAAAATCATAAATGCTGAAAATATTTTATTGTTCAAATCATTTTAAAATATTTCCCAAGTTGATTTTATACACATATTTTAAATAATTATAATGTCCACTTTGGACATGGCTTGCTGAATTTTACTATGCAGATAAATCTTCTTTTACTAAGGAGATACCCATCAGTAGCCTTGCTGTTGACATTTGCGTAAAGACATTTTGAGATCACAAGCAGTTACCAACATACGATCTAATAGTCTCCTTATTAGCTTAGAAATCACTATACTTCCAGGGGGCTGTAAGGGAGTAAGATAGTCTCCTATTTCTCAGGAAACACTGAATGCTAATGTGAAGCCTTAAAATTTGCAATGAATAGAGAATAAGAGAAGAATTAGAAAAGATGCTTAAGAAAACTGAAAGTACATACACTTAAAATTGTACATATTTAAAGATTTTAAGGAAAATAAATACTAATAAATTACTAAGGAGGAAAATTAAATTAAATACAGTTATCTTAAATTATTGGGGGTGAGGGTGGTAGGGAGGAGTACAAAAGTAGATAGACAAATATAAAGAAACTTCACTCATCCCATCCTTAAATTTAAAATATATCATAAACTGAAGTCTAGTTTAGCTAATTACTTTTTACGCTAAAAACTCTGTATTATATTTTTTTCATTTACTCATTCATCCATTCATCATATGTTTATTTAGCAACTACTATGTAACAGGCATTGTCACAGGAACTAAAGCTATAGCAGGAAAAAAATTAGTAAAAAAAAATTCTGCCCCCATAGATATTACCTTCTAGAAAGGAAGACAGAAAATAAACAACACACCAATAAATAAAGAATATGAGAAAGTGTAAAAAGCAGGGAGTGTGGATAGCAAGTGGTAAGAGTCATTATAAACTCAAATAGAGTAGTCTAGGTGTGACTAGGTTGAACAAAGATTTTAAGGAACATAAGCCATGCAAAAACCTGGAGAAAGTACTCTAGCCAGAAAAAAAGGTGAAAAAATCCTGAGTCAAGTCAAGGACTTTCAGATGTGTTCAAGAAACAGCAAGGTGGTCAGTGTAGTTGGAGTGAGGAGTGTTAGAGAAAATGGTTAGAGATGGAATCAGAGAGGTAATGGTCAGCAGAGTGTGTAGAAACTTAGGGGTTATTAGAAGCCTATATTGCAGCAAATGTGATGATAATCCATTGGGCAGTGTATTAATTGGGGTTCTCCAGAAACACAGGACTAACCAGATGTTTACACAGGTGTACCTCAGAAATTTTGTGCGTTTGGTTCCAGACCATTGAAATAAACCAAGTCACAGATCTTTTTTAGTTTCCCAGTGCATATAAAAGTTATGTATACACTCTACTGTAGTCTATTAAGTGCGCAATTGCATTATGTCTAAAGAAGTACATATCTTAATTAAAAAATACTTTATTGCTAAAGAGTGCTGACACAAAGACATGAAGTGAGCACATGCCATTGAAAAAATGATGCCAATAGACTTGCTCAAAGCAGGGTCGCCATAAACTTTAAATTTGCGAAAAATGCAGTATCTGTAATATCTAATAAAGTGAAGCACAATTAAAAGGGGTATGCCTGTATATATAAAGATATTTACTTTAGGAAATTGGCTCATACAATTGTTGAGGCTTGGCAAGTCCAAAATCTGCTGGGATAGGCAAGCAGGCTGGAGACTGAGGGAGAGTTGCAGAGTACGAAGACAGTTTGCTGGCAGAATTCCTTCTTGTTTGGGGGTTGTCAGTCTTTATTCTATTAAGGCCTTCAGCAGATTGGATGAAGTCCACCCACATTATATAGAGCAATCTGCCTTACTCAGTGTCCACCAATTTAAATGTTAATCTCATCCAAAAAAACACCCGCACAGAAATGTCCAGAATAATGTTTGACCAAATACCTTGGCACCATGGCCCAACCAAGTTGACACCTAAAATTAAGCATCACAGATGGTTTTAAGCAACAGTAACAAGATCTGACTTGTTTATAAACATGATTATTCTGGCATTTATGTTGAGAATAGACTTAAAAGGAACAAAGTAAAGCAGTAGGAAGAATATTTGCGGTTAGAAGGCATTACAAGAATCCATGTAAAAAAACTGACAAATGATGGTAACTTAGATTAAAGTAGTAGTTGCAGAGGTGATGGGAATTGGCTGGATTATGAACATAATTTGAAGGCAGAGTCAACAGGATTTGCTTACATTTTACATATGGAGTTTAAGAGAAAGATGAGTATTGGATAAATCCAAAAGAGGTTTTTTTTTTAAGTGAACTTTTTATTAAAATGTAATATGCACAGAAAAGGGAGTAAAAAAAAACACAGAATATAAGAGTACAAATTGATGAATTTCACAAAGCAAACACACTCATGTAACCATAATCTAACTTATAAAACAGATACAACCCCTGAAGTCTTTGTGCCCTTTCTGGTCATTAATCTTCCAGTGTAACCAGTGTTCTGACTTTATATACCATAGTTGCAGTTCATTCACTCTTTTTGCTATGTAGTATTCTATTGCATAAATATACCCCAACTTATGTACCCAATATATGGTTGATTCACATTTGATTTGTTTCTAGTTGAGGGAAAAGATGAATAATGCTGTTATGAATATATCTGAACATATCTTTAGATGAGCATGTATATCTGCTTCCATCAGGTAGATACCTGGGACTGGAACAGCTGAATTGTAGGCTATGTTGATGTAAATAGAATATGGCAGCTGTTATACTTCTGCTTTCCAAACTACATGGAAACTGTCTGTAACACCACACTAACCTGGATAAGTATAAGTGAAAATTTGGAAACAAAATCCAGCTTATCTAAATCAATTCAGTGTAAATCCACCATGTTTATTATCTCTCATGAGATTTTGCTCATTATTTTTGTTAGTGTTTAGGAAAACTATTGCTTGTGTACTACTGATCTAGCTTTTTAACAATATTTATGAACTAATTCATATGCCTAACACTTTGAATTTTTTTAGTATTTAAATGATCCAATTACCCTAACTACAAAAAAATTATTTTGATCCTTTTAGACCCTTCCCTTCAAAGGCTTCATACCTATTATTTCTTTTCCTTTTCCTACAATGCAGAGCAGTAACAGTAAAGCAGGTAAGCCTATTTTTTCCTAAGTTTAATTGAAATGCCACTGAATTTTGTTCATGAAATATTTTGTTTTGCTATTAGAGTCAACAGATAATTCTTACTCAAAAGAAAAAATCCTTTCAAGTATCCTAGAACTTCTCAAATTTATGTTGAATTTTATCAATTTTTTAACATATCGAGAGAAATGTATATTTTTCTACTTGAATATATTGGTATATTAGATTATATATTTATCAATGCATTTTCTTATATTGACCCCTCCCAACATTATATGATAAATTATCCTTGTTCTTGATGTAGTATATTTTTTAGACATTGCTAAATTTAATTTGCTATAATTTTATTATGGATTTTCACATCTAGGTTCAGAAAATGAGAATGGCCAGTGCTTTCCTTGGGCTCTTTTTGTTCAATTTTGTTTTCATATCAGGATTATGCTAGACATACGAAATGAGTTGGATTACATCCTAGGATTTACTGTGTCCTGAAAAAGTTTGTATGCTCTGGGAAAGTGGACATTTTCTGTTCCTCAAAAACGTAGCAAAAAATGCTTTACAGAACATTTAGCCTGTTGTATTTTGGGAGGTAGAGATTTCAATATCATTTTAGCATGTCCTTTGTTAGAGTTTATGTACATTTCTTTACAATTATGATCAATTTGGTATTTTATATTCTTCTTTGTAATTGTAAGCCCATTATTTAATCTTGAAGTTGCTTATATGTTAATTCTCTAACATTTCAAGATTACACTAAGGAGAAGTTTTTAAAATTTGTATTTTATGTTTCAAAGAAACAGCCTTCTGTTTTGTTCTCTTTATAGACAACTTTAGAAAAGTCATCATAAAATGCATGCTGTCATTATAGAGGTTTGGTACTTACTGACTCTCTTGAACTATTTCTTGTAATAGAAAAGAAAAAATAAAAAGAAACATGTATTACGTAAAAACATTAAGTGGCCAGACTTTAAACTACATACCTGAAGTAAATATTTATACATTCCAACTTTTTATTGATTCATTTATTTCAGTCATTTATTTCATACATATTTTTGGGGGCATAGATACTGGCATTGTGATAAGATCTGATGATAATGCAGTCAGCAAAATCAGACATAGGCCTGCCTGCATGTGACTTTCCTTGCGGACAAATATATGAATGTAAAAGAGTAACTGTGATAAATACCATAAAAGAGAGATAATATTTTAAGTGCATTAAAGGGAAACTTAGCCTTCCTTGGAATAGAGAAAGTTTCCCTGAGGTTAAAATTTGAGCTGCAGGATAATGGGATTTAGTTACATAACTAGGAGAGAAAAAAATTTCCAGACATATGCCAAATCATACAGTGAAGAAAGTGTGGGGGACATGAAAAATTAGTAAAACAAACAGTATAACTGGAGTTAATTGACAAAGGGACCTTATGGTAAGAACATTCAAACAACAGCATCAAATTCTTTAAAAAAGTATAGAAAACATAAATTATTATTTTTAGTAAATGTTGGCTAGATTACACAGAATTATCTTCCTGTTAGACAACAAAATTCTGGATAATATATGAAAAAATAGTTTCAAAAAATCAAAGATCTGAAAGACAAATAGCAGGACAAAACAGAACAAAAAATGAAAATCTTGAGATGTAAACAATATCCTCAAAGTAAGGGTTTACCTAGAAAAAATCAAGTTGTGAAATTTAAGTGAGATTTTTATGGACTTGAAAATAAGATAATAGAATTCAATATCATATTAATGTTTATCCACAATTCATTTCAAGTTCAGGATAAGAATCAGCCAGAATTAAATCACTACCACTCCCACCTTCCTTACAAGACTAAGCAGAAGCCTGCCTTGTCACTGAATAGAAGAGTTGGAAATAACCAAAGAAAGTCCTGAGAGATATAAAAATTTTAAACTTCTATGTGCCCCTGAACATAACATTCAAATATTTAAAGTAAAATATTACAATCCTACAAATAGATAGGAAAATTAAATCATATTGTGCAAGTTTTAATATCCTCCTAGTTGTTAATAAAATAATTAAAATATAAAAATATTTAAAATTTGTAAAATACATGAACTATATGATTATCAAAATTAAATAACAGACATATATAAAACTTTCTTCCCAAGAATTTTAGCTTGTTTCCTTTTTTTAAAAAAAAAAATCTGTTTTTAAAATAACATGATGCTGGTTGGCCATTAAGCCAATGCAAACAAATTTGAAGTAATTGAAATCATATACAGTTTGTTCTCTGAACACAGTGAAATTAAGGTAGAAATCAAGTACAAAACAAATAACTAGAATATTCTCAAACAATTAAGAATATAAAGAGTAGAAAAATGAAGTTGAGGGACATCAGCAAGATGGAAAAATAGGAAGTCCCGAATCCTTCTTCACCACTTTGAGTACACTGATTCAACAATATGTTGACAAATTTCCTTAGTGAAAATTCCAAAGATAGAGAGAGGATTCTGTATCCCACGTGAGCATGAATCTAGCTTCATTGAAGCCAGTAGGAAAATCTATGGCACCCTTTCTACTTAGTATTTTTCCCTGGCACATCAGTACACAACTGGGAGAAAACCTCCAAATCACAGCTTCTCCCTAGAGAAGGAAGGAGAGGACTGAACCATTCATCTAACATTCTGACTTTTCAAGGGGCTGCCCAAAAGAATGGTTTCTGTCTTGTCTCAGAGTGTTGACAGAAATGGCCCCGAACCAGGCGCTGCATAGAGAGAGAGAGAAAAAAAAGGTAATGGTTTTGACTAGTACACCATAGCTCCATTCCCAGCTCAGCACAGAACTAGTGGGTGAAATTTCTTAAATCTAGGCTTCTTTCTGGAGAAGAAAATAGTTGAAACATTCATCTAATATTCCGGCTTTTTGAAAGGTGAAGGTGCCCAGGAGACTGTCTTCAGAATCTCTTGTCTAGGAACACGTCTACAAGGGCTGGGAATATTCTATGTGGCTGGGGGCCACTTTCAACAAGGTCAACAGTTTGGAATAGTATGCATTCACTGTCAGAGTCCCTCTCCTGGTTCTATGGGACATGATTAGGAAATCTCATAGTCCCCCAATATCTACCTGGGAAGGAAAGAGAAAACTGAAGATCTATTTACTGTCTAGTCTTTCAGGTGGCTGCTTTTAATCTTGCCCATCCCAGAATTCTGATTGGATCTAGCTAAGTCTAGATGCCTGGTGGCCACAGAGAACAGCAACAACAGAAATAGTTCAATAGTGTGCTGCCTCTCCAGAGGGGGTTCAGTACAACAGATGGATTACAGAGGGATCAAGAGATTATTAACAGGAAAAAAAAAACAGGCAAATCTCTCTAATTTTAAGAATTCACATGCATAAATCAAAACCAGACACATCCACAGAAAAGTGTTGATGATGCCAGTCAGTAAAGACTTGGAGAGGTGGTCATTCTTTCAAATGCACAGACATCACCACAAAGTATCAAAGATCATGAAAACAGAGAAAATGGCCCTGACAAAGGAATAAAATAAATCTGAAGAAACAGATTCTAAAGATATGGAAGTATGTGAAGTGCCTGAACAAATAATTCAAAATAATCATCATAGAAATGCTCAATGAGCTCAGGAAAATCATGTATGACCAAAATAAATATTTCAACCAAAGAATACAAAATATAAACGAACTGCCAAAATAAATTTTGTAGCTGAAGAATACAATGACTAAGTTAAAAAATTCACTGGAAGGGTTCAACATGAGACTTGATCAAGCTAAAGAAAGAATCAGTAAACTCAACAACGGGTTGTTAGAAATTATCTAGTTACAGGGGCAAAAAGAAAAAAAATAGAAAGAAAATGAGAAAAGCAGAAAGGATTTACAGGACACCATTAGTGAACCCAAATACATATTATGGAAGTCCCCGAAACAGATGAGAGAGAAAAGACCAGAAAACTTATTTAAAGAATTAATGATTGAAAACTTCCTACATTGTGGAAGGAAATGGACATCCATATTCGAGAAGACCAAAAGATTCCAAATGAGATAAACCCACAGAAGTCCACATTAAAATTAAACTGTCAAATGTCAAAACAAGGAAAATTTTGAAAGCAGGAAGGGAAAGTTGGCATGGCACATACAAGGGAATCTTTAAAAGACTGTAGATGGATTTCTTAGCAAAAAACCTTGCAGGTCAGAAGGTAGTAGAATGATATACTCCAAGAAGCAAAATAAAAAAACACTGTGAACCATGAATACTACAACCAAGAAAATTTTCCTTAAAAAATAAAGGAGAAATGGACTTTCCCAGGTAAACAAAAGCTGAAGGAGTTCATTACCACTAGAACTTCCTTACAAGAAAAGCTAAAAGCAGTTCTTCAAATTGACTCAAAAGAATGCTACATGGCAACACAAAAGCGTAGAAAAGTATGAAGCTTTCAGATAAAGGTAAACATATAGAGAAATACAGTATACGAGAATGGTCAAGCATAAATCGCAATTAGTTTCAGGACAGAACTTACGAAAGTATTAAAAAACTATGTAAAATATATTAATAGGTACACAATATAAAAGAATGTAATTTGTGACATAAATAATGTAAACTGTGGATAAAGGAAGTAAAAGTTTAGAGGTTTTGTATGTAATTAAAGTTACCAGTTCAAGATAAAATGTTACAACTTTAAGATATTTTATATAAGCCCTGTGGTCACCACAAAGAAAATATCAATAGAAGATATACAAAAGAAAAAATAGAAATGAATCCAAACATGTAACTGCAAAAATAATCAATGAAACACAAAGATAGAAAGAGAGAAAAGAGAGGCTATGAAGCTACAGGACAGACAGAAAACAATGAACAAAGTGGCAATGGCAAATTCTTCCCTATCAATAATTACTTCAAATGTAAATAGACTATAATGCCCATTCAAAAGACACAGCGAGGCTGAATGGATTAAAAAGCAGTCCCAACTATGTCTCTAAGAGACTAGTATAGATTTAAAGACACATATAGGCTAAGAGTAAAAGGAAGAAGATATCCTATGTAAATGGTAACTAAAAGACAGCAAAGGTGACAATACTTATATCAGACATAATGGATGTTAAATCAAAAACTTTCAAAAGTGACATAGAATAACATTGCTTAATGTTGAAAGTGTAAATTCACCAAGAAGATAGGATAATTTTAAATACATATCCACCCAATATCAGATATCCAAATAAAGAAAGCAAACAATGAAAGACTGAAAGGAAAAGTAGATAGCAATACAATAATTGTAGGGGATTTCAAAACCAGCAATTAGTGCCAGACTCTAGAAATTCATAAGAGGAAAAAACCTAGAAAATTCATAAATATGTGGAAATTAAACACACTCTTGAATAATCAATGGGTACATAAAAAAAAAAATCTTGAGACAAACAAAAACAAAAGCATAAGATACCAAAGTTGTGGAATGCAGCAAAATCAGTAATAAAAGGAAGTTCATACTGATAAACACCTATATTAAAAAAGAATGATCTTATGTAAACAACCTAACTGAAGAAATTAGAAAAAGAAAAATATGCCAAGCCTAAAGTTAGGAAAAGCAATTAACAAATATTAAGGCAAAAAAAAAAAAAAGAAAACAGAAAAACAATAGAAAAAATATCAATGAAATGAAGAGCTGGTTTTCTTGAAAAGATCAACAAAATTGCTAAGCTTTTAGTTAGATTAAGGAAAAAAGAGAGAAAATTAAAGTAAATTAAATCAGAAGAAGGAGTAGACATTACAAGTGATGTCACAGAAATAAAAAAGATAAGAGATAATTATGAACTATTATATGCCAATGAATTCAATAAAAGAAATTGACAAATTCTTATAAACCTGTAAACTCCCAGGCCTGAATTATAAAGACATAGGAAATATGAATATACCTATGAGTAGTAAGGAGTTTTATTTAAAAATCAGAAACTTCTAACAAAGAAAAGGTCAGGTCTAGATGACTTCTCCAATAAATTCACTCAAACATAACCAAACAAAAAAGGCAAAAAACAAACATCTGCAGGTCCTGATAAACACAAATTCAAAAATACTGAAGAATATATATTGGCAAACTGTATTCAACAGCATTATTAAAGTATCATTCACCAAGTGGAATTTACCCTTGGGTTAAAAGGATGGCTCAACTTGGTACATAGATGAATTAATATGATACATCACATTAACAGATATATTAACAGAATAAGAATCACATATTTATCACAGTAGACGCAGAAAAAGTATTTGACAAAATTCAACAATCTTTCATTTTAAAAACTTACAACAAACCAGGAATAGAAGAAAATTACCTTCACATAATAAAGTCTATACATGAAAGTCCACAGCTAGCATTTTACTCAATGGTGAAAAACTAAAAGAGTTTCCTTTAAGATCCGGACAAAACAAGAATGTCCACTCTTACTACTTATTTTCATCCTCATGGTAGAAACCCTAGCCAGAGCAACAAGGCAAGAAAAAGATATAAAAGGCATCCAACTAGGAAAGAAAGAAGTAAAATTTTCTCTGTTTGCAGATTAAATACTTTTTTTTGCAGAAAATCCTAAAAACTTCATGAAAACTATAGTATGTTAATAAACGAATTCAGTAAATTTGCAGATACAAAGTCATCATACAATAATCAGTTGTAATTTTATGTACTAAGAATAAACATTCCAGGATGAATTATGAAAATAATTCATTTATGATAGCATCAACAATAATAATGTACTTAGAAATAAACATAATCAAGGAGGTGAAATCTATATAATATGAAAGAAATAAGTTTGAAAGATACAAGTAAATAGAAAGACCTCTTGTGTTCCCATATCAAAGGCTTAATATTGTTTAAATATCCATGCTGTCTAAAGTAATCTATAATAAGGAAACAATGAACAGAATGGAGAAGTAACCTACAGAAGGGGAGAAAATATTGACAAACCATATTTCTGTTAAGAGGCTAATATCTAAAATATGTAAAGAACTAATACAACTCAATAGCAAGAACAACAAAAAACCACTTTTATGGGTAAAGGACTTGAATAGACATTTATCCAAAGAAGACATACAAATGGCCAACAGGTTTATGAAAAGATACCAAACATCACTAACCACCAGGGAAATGTAAATCAAAACCACAATGAGATATCACCTCACACCTGCTAGAATGACTATTATTTAAAAAAGGCAAAAGATAACAAGTGTTGTTGAGGATGTGGAGGATTTGAAACCCTTGTACATTACATGTAAAATGGTATAACTACTATGGAAAACAGTATGAAGGTTCCCCACCAAATTTAAAAAGAACCATCAGCAATCCTAATTCTCAGTAATATCTGAAAGAAGTAAAATCAAAACCTTGAAGAGAAATCTACACTCCTATGTTCATTATAACATTATTCATAGTAGTCAAGATACAGAAACAATTGAAATCATCTATGGATGGATGAATGGGTAAGTAAATTGTAGTATATACATACAATGGAGTATTACTAAGCCTTAAAAATAGGGAAATCTTGCCATTTGTGACAACATGAATGAACTTTTAGTAAATTATGTTAAGTGAAATAAACCAGTCACAGAAAAACAAATATATCATGGTTTCACTTATGTGAGGTATCCAAAATAGTCAAACTCACAGAAGCAAAAAGTAGAGTGATGTTTGTCAGTGGCTGGGTCAGGGGGAAAGAGAAGGTACTGTTTAATGGGTATAAGGTTTCAGTTATGCAAGGTGTGAAAATTTCTAGAGATCTGCTGTGCAATATTGTGTGTGCAGTTAATACTGTATTGTACACTTACAATTTGTTAAGAGGGTAGATCTCATGTGATGAGTTTTTTTAACTATAATAAAAAAGATAAACCAGAAAGTATACTCCTCAATACATATTGATTAAATAATTTAGAAATTAGAAAACATTTGAACTAATTGGTAATTAATACTATATAGAAACACCTATGCAGGCTGTAAAACTTTATTTCTTAAGAAATTTAGAATTTTCATTGTATATATTAGAAAATAATGAAGATTGAACATTAATGAGCTTGTCTCAAAGTTAGAAAAATACAGCTAAATAAATACAGATGATGTGAAATTTCAAAGAGAGAGAGGAAGGGAAACAACCAACAGAGAAATTAGACAATGTCAGGCATGAAAAAGAGAATGACATTAAATATTCTAAAATATTACACTGCAAGTAAGAGTATAATAAGATCAACTATATGCTATATATATATTTGAGGCAGAGTTTCCCTTTGTTACCCAGGTTGGAGTGCAGTGGCACAATCATGGCTCACTGCAGCCTCTACCCCCCTGGTTCAAGCAATCCTCCTTCCGTGGCTTCCTGTGTAGTTGGGACTATAGGCATGCATTACCATGCCTGGCTATTTTTTGTAATATGCTAATACATTTGAAAATTTCAATGAAATCAAGAAATTCTTAGAAAATTGTAGCTTACAAAATTGATTCAAGATGAAATAAAAAACTTGAACATTCCTATAACTAAGTATAGATTTGGTTTGGTAGTCTATAGTCCTACTACCAATCACGTTGACTTTATTAGAAAACCGTACATATTTGGAAAAAAATAACTACCCTCTTATGCAGTCATATCTAAACAAAGCTGATAATACGTTGCCATTTATTTTGTGATACTAGTACAAGAAAAGAAAGGGAAATTATAGGCTATTCTCTTTCATGAATATATATGTAGATATAATACCTTAAGAAAAAAAATGCATTTGTCAGGTTTCCAGAAGAATAAATATTGTTATATTCAATAATTTAATTAAAAAGAGATCAGTAAATATGCCATTTGCAGTTCCATTACTACTATCCCTGTGGAATACTGCAGTGTCTAGAAATTAAGCAAATGCAAGAATCCAATTCAATCTTCAAGTTTAAAAGTGTCTGGCAAGAGCTGTAGCTATGAGTGAAGCATTGTCTTATAAGAGCTGTGGCTGTAGCCAGTAATATAACCTCATCACCAGAGGAAACAGAATGCTGCTGACAGTGTAGTGACAAATAAATTCTCTGACATCTATCTGCTCTCAGCTTTCGTCATAGCATCTGCTGGTCTCATTGGATGAAGCCAATTATAAAAAACGCATTCTTTTGAAGTACATGTATAATAAGCAAACAATAACAACAGCAACACCACAAAAACATGTTTTACACTATTTGTGTCAACAGATTAAAAGGGCTAAAAAGATTAGCCACAGGGAGGGTATATCTAAAATGTTTGTAATTGATAAAGGATAAGTATCCAGAGTTTATAAAATCTTCTACTCTGGTTCCAGATGCTTAAACACCATGCCAAAGAATATTTCTAGCTCATACACAAGGAGACATGTAAGACAGTTCAATGAAACATAGCATGCATTTGCAAAAATTTCAAGCCAGCCCAAATGCACACAAATAGAATGTCAAATATATAATTTATACTCTAGTCATATCTTAGAAAACTAGTCAGTGTTTAGGTGAATCAATTAAATCCCTTAATTCAACATGAATAAATCCAAAAAGGACAATATTGAGTGACAAAAACAAGTTTTCATTTATATAACTTCCATAATAAAAGTATAAAATATGGATGGAAACATTGGTGGGATTGAAGTACGGTGCTTACTCTGAAAGAAAGGACATATTTGTATGACTATGAGCTTCAATTGTATGTTTAGAATTTTATATAGTTGAAGCCATTTGTGGTGGTGTGCCCCTGTATTCTCAGCTACTCCAGAGGCTGAGGCAAGAGGATTGCTTGAGCCCAGAAATTCAAGGCCAGGGTGGACAAGATAGTGAGAACCTGTCTCAAAAAAACAAAAACAAACCAAACTTTTTAAAATTATGTGGTTACATAAAAATAGTTCAGAAGAAATATATCAAAAATATGTAAAGTTAACATATTGAATGAATAATCTAAATTATAACTGATTCTTTTTACATTTTACTTTTTAATTTAAATATTATAATTTTATGGGAACAGGAGGCTAGAAATTTTTAGATACAAGAAAATTTAATAATTGCATTTTTAGTAAAATTAGTTCTATTAAAATTGTATATAGTTTCATATTTGTGGCATTCTGGCCCAATAATGCTGCCAAACTACTGTGGCTCTAGTTGAAGACAAATGATGGCAGAAACACTGCAGCTTTAAAGGTGACATAGATTAGCATTCAGGACTCTCAAAACCACTTGAAATTTAATGGGGAAATGTCAGTAAGACAATTGCCAAGGGAATAAGATCCAAATTCCAAGCATAAACTCTGCCCAAAACCCTGGCTGACAGCTAACATACACATGCATGAGGTGAGATTTCCAAGGAGCCTGGCAAAAAGAAAGAAGGAGGCAGAGAGGACAAAAAGCTACTCTTGAAAAATAGTGCTACACAGAGGTAATTTGTCACTTTTCAAATCCCTTAGTCCACTAAATGGAGATGGCAGAATAAAGAATCAAAGCATTTGAAAGTAGATGAATAAGTTGACAAATCTCCCCCAAAAGAAAGAAAACTTAAAGAGAAATAATCAGGATTTCAGTTTTGTTGGACAACATCAAATAGTACAACATTTATGTAATTAGGAACTCAGAAGAAGAACTGAGATATCTGCAGAATGAATACTTGATTAAATAATGGCCATCAACTTCCCACATTTGATATAGAACGTTAATTTTCAGATCTAAAATCCATACATTTCATATAATTCCCTTCATTTAAAATTCTAAAACACGTTAACTAGTCAATAATATCACAAAGCAGAATCATGATGACGGGTACATTAATGTTACTGACTGCAGTAATTATTTTACTATGCATATATATATATGAAAACATGTTGTATACCTTATTTGTGTATAATCAAAATAGCAAACAAATACATACATAAGCGGAATCAGTATTTACCTGATGGAGCGCTGAATTGCAAAGGGGCATTGTTACAGAATTCCTTCGGTGGTGTTTCGCCAGCTGGAAATCTCTGTGGCTGCTGTGACCTCTGCCCGGGGCCTCACTGAGGCCCACCAGGCTCGCACCCTGGCCTGGATCCAGTGCCTTAACAGAGACTCCGCACTCAGCCCGTGGGTGGACTGGTCATGCTGCGGGCAGTTTTCACATTGGGTGCCAGAGTCTAGATGAGAAAAATGCAATGGCGCCCTAACACTTGACGATGCCAGCAACTGCGGTCCCCCAAGGGGTGTCAAAGTCCCAAAGTCTGAGCCAACAAGAAATGTTGTGGCTTTTGTAGTTTGGGGAGACAGCCAGAAGAGAATGGTGTCTAACTGTTTTGCTTCTTCACCCCCACAGCTAGGCAAACAGGGGCATATTACAGCTTTCGCAGCCTCCCACAGTTTGCTGGACAGGGGTGTATTAAAGCTCATTCATTCCTGCCACCTGCAGCTCAGTGAATGGGGGCATGTGAAACCCAGTGGTTTTTTTCACTCCCATAGCTCTGCAAGCAGGAGGGCATTTTACAGCTCTTTTCACAGCCAGTTGGGGGTTAGGGGTTCTAGGTTCTTGTCCCCCGCCCAAGAGGAATGAGGTTTGCAGACACCTGAGAGTGTGCAAAGCAGAGAATCATTTTATTGAGTGACAGAAAAGCTCTCAACATGACAGAGGAGCCGAAGTGAGCAGCTTTCTGTGTGAGAGGGAGTCCCCAAATGGGTAATCCTCTGTGAGACTGAGTCCAGGGTTTTCATGTGCTCAGAATGGGGGAGTGCATGCTGATTGGTTCATGGGCAGGACTGGAAAAAGCACCATTCAATTGGCTAAAAGGCATCGAGGAAGTTCTCACTCTGGTTGTGAACTCCACCCAAATCTGTCAGCTTGGTTTTATAGCTTCACACTGTCTATGGCTTGAAGTTTGGGTTTCACTGGGGACCCACCACTATATGACTAGGAATTTGTCTGTCTCCTGCCACTACCAGCATGAAGATTCTTTGGAGGAGTGATAGGTATTTCCTGATTGTTTTGGTGGTTTCACAGTTATATATTTCTATCAAAACCAATTGTATTGTATATTTTAAATGTATACAGCATAAGGCATATAAATTATACTTCAATAAATTGTAAATATTAAAATTGAATAATTTACAAGAACATGAGTAGTTTATCCACAATAGAGTTATTTAAACAGGCATATATATAATTAAATTTCCAAGTTCACAAATAATTCAATAAATATTATTATATGAAATAATCATATAATTTTTCACCCAGCAACCTGTCAAAATTTAAAAAAATAATACTTGGTATTGATGGAGTCTAATAAATGTTACAATGTAGTCTTATTTATATTATAAGTATGCACAATATTCCTTATCCCTTAAGTAAAAATATATGCAAAGATATACATTAATCACTGTATTTTTTGTGATAGTAAAGAAAATGAATAACCTAGTGCACACTAATAGAGCATTGGTTTAATACATTACAGTTTATAAAAAATGGAACAGTGAAAGGAAGGACATGGAGTTCACATTACTTGAATTTGCTCTTCCAGTGGAAGGTGTGTAACACTGGCAAGTTATGTATGCTTTCTGATTCCTCTTATGTAAAATGTGAATGATATTAGTGAATTTTAAAGCAATCTTAGTTCCAATGTAGCAGCTTTAGTTGGCAGTAAGTAAAGTTACCCCAATTTGGCAGATCTCTGTCTGCATACTGCTTAAAACCAGTGATAAACACACAGAATGAAAAGCAGATAATCTAGAAAAATGAAAAACCCAGAGCCAAAATTTCAGATATCAAACCAGAGTTAAGAAAATTAACCATAGCTGCTATAGTTCTATTGATTAATTGGTCCCCTTAATAGGACATGGGCTGGCCCAGTGCTTTTATTTATGCTTTCGCAGAAATTTTTCACCAGTCTAAACATGTTTGTAAGTCCCTAGAAATCTCAGTCTCATAATTATCAACCAGCCTTTATTGAGTAGAGTTGTCTGATTATAAGAAAGTTTGTATCTATTCATATTTGTCACATTTACTGAGTTGCTACCACTTTGTGTGTCAGGCATCAAAGATACAATGAGAAAGCAAAATATCACATCTCTGCCCTAATAGAGCTGATCATCTATTTACAGTATTTACCTTTGAAAAATAATTGAGGTAAAATAAGAATAAAATAGGCATATATAGCACCAGAAAAATATATATACATACATACACACACCTGGTGTACAGACCACCAGAAAACTCTGGGAGCAAAATAAATCTATGCCAGTAATGGTGGAAGGGAGAGATTTTAAAAGTCTTATAAAAATTTGACTTTTTTTTTTGAGATAGGGTCTCACTCTGTTCCCTCCTGGGCTGGAGTACAGTGGTGTGATCATGGCTCACTGCAGCCTTGACCTCCCTGGTTCAAGAGATTTTCCCACTTCAGCCTCCCAAGTAGCTGAGACTACTAGCGCGCACCACACTGCCTGGCTATATTTTGTAGAAATGGGATTTCACCATGTTTCCAAGGCTAGACTCAAACTTCTAGGGTCAGGAAATCCTCCAGCCTCAGACTCTCAAAGGGCTGGGATTACAGGTGTGAGCCACCATGTGTGGATAAAAAGATTGCTTTGGAGCTGGTTCTTGAAGAATGATAAGGCAACACAAGAAATTTTCCAGCAGGGATAGTTCCAAGAAAGACAATGATATTTTCAGGACTTGTAAAGTATTGATATACGCAAATAATTTTGCAGTTGCATAAATCAGGATTAGCAATAGGTTGCTTGCAAAAAGATCTTTTGTTACATATTTGCATAAATAATAATCGTATAAGCAATTTGTTCTAGTTTATTTTTCCAGTGATAATTGGAGTCAGTACATAATGGAGGTTGTTTAATGGCCATTTGGAGCCTTGCAGATGGAAGAAATTAAACACAAAACAAGGACATGTTTAGTTTTGTTGTCTAATTTAATCTTCATTTCCAGGTATTATTATGACTTATTTGGCAAATGAAGTGATAAATAGCTTGATTAATAGACTAGTCATTTAACTTGATTTTCCTTTTTGTGGTTTCTATTTGTTTCTCTACGTGGCCACAGGTGCATTTAGTTTATTTTTTTAGCTACTTTTTATAAGGAGCATAACACAGAAGGATAACAAAGTTTTTCAGTGAAATTCTGTGTATATGTATAGATATGAGGTGCAAAACATTGTTGATCATCTTGCTGAGACTGTCTATCCCAAGGCTATACTTTGCTTGATCAAGAATTTTAAGTAAGCCCAGCTATAAATACACCAATGAAGTAACATAGAGTTCAAGTATTGCTTGAATGGAAAACTCTTCATCAATAGAGCAATTTATTAGTAAATGTCAGCTTTTGTCTCTCTCTTTGATTCTTGACAGACATTCTGACAGCATTTAGAATAACAAAAGAACAGATATGCTTTACATGACTATGTCATTAGACCGGGAGGAAGAATCAATTTAAATAAGAAACTTTAAATATAAAAGCTATATTCACAACCATGAGTGAGGAGATTTAAAGAATCCCAGGGGTTATCTTGTCAAATCTCCTTATTTTACAGATGAGAAAAGTAAAGTTCAAGGCTTTAAATGATTTCAACTGGGTAAATCACCCTGAACTTCCAGTCCAGCACTGTTTCAATTGCATCAATCTGCTTCCGCATTCGATTATAAACTATCTATCTTCCATAATTTAAAATAGCACCATTTGAAAATGCACATTCTAATTTGAAATATAATGTAAGTCCACAGAAATGCTACAACAGTGTTCTTTGAGTCTATGACATTAAATCATCTAATAAGAATAAACCAAATTTTGACCATCAGTCATCACTACCTTTGAATCAGATCAAAGGCAGTTCTGCTTTACAGTAACAAAATAATTCTTAGGTTTATCTTAGGATAAATCATTATATAGTGTCAGGCCTCTGAGCCCAAGCCAAGCCATCGCATCCCCTGTGACTTGCATGTATACGCCCAGATGGCCTGAAGTAACTGAAGAATCATAAAAGAAGTGAATATGCCCTGCCCCACCTTAGCTGATGACATTCCACCACAAAAGAAGTGTAAATGGCCGGTCCTTGCCTTAAGTGATGACATTACCTTGTGAAAGTCCTTTTCCTGGCTCATCCTGGCTCGAAAAGCACCCCCACTGAGCACCTTGCGACCCCCACTCCTGCCCGCCAGAGGACAAACCCCCTTTGACTGTAATTTTCATTTACCTACCCAAATCCTATAAAATGGCCCCACCCTTATCTCCCTTCGCGGACTCTCTTTTCGGACTCAGCCCGCCTGCACCCAGGTGAAATAAACAGCCATGTTGCTCACACAAAGCCTGTTTGGTGGTCTCTTCACACAGACGCGCATGAAATTTGGTGCCGTGACTCAGATCGGGGGACCTCCCTTGGGAGATCAATCCCCTGTACTCCTGTTCTTTGCTCCGTAAGAAAGATCCACCTACAACCTCAGGTCCTCAGACCGACCAGCCCAAGGAACATCTCACCAATTTTAAATCAGGTAAGTGGCCTCTTCTTACTCTCTTCTCCAACCTCTCTCACTGTCCCTCAACCACTTTCTCCTTTCCACTCTTCAATCTCTCCCTTCTCTTAGTTTCAATTCCTTTCATTTTCTGGGAGAGACAAAGGAGACATGTTTTATCCGTGGACCCAAAACTCCAGCGCCGGTCACGGACTGGGAAGGCAGCCTTCCCTTGGTGTTTAATCATTGCAGGGACACCTCTCTGATTATACACCCACGTTTCAAGGGTGTCAGACTGCGCAGGGATGCTTGCCTTGGTCCTTCACCCTTAGTAGCAAGTCCCGCTTTTCTGGGGAAGGGGCAAGTACCTCAACCCCTTCTCTCCTTGTCTCTACCCCTTCTCTGCTTTTCTGGGAGAGGGGAAAGTACCCCTCAACCCCTTCTCCTTCACCCTTAGCAGCAAGTCCCACTTTTCTACGGGGCAAGAACCCCCAATCCCTTATGTCCATGCCCCAACCTCTTATCTCTGTGCCCCAATCCCTTATTTCTGCACCCCAACCTCTTATCTCTGTGCCCCAATCCCTTATTTCCGCACCCCAACCTCTTATCTCTGTGCCCCAATCCCTTTTGTCCATGCCCCAACCTCTTATCTCTGCGCCCCATCCCTTATTTCCACACCCCAACCTCTTATCTCTGTGCCCCAATCCCTTATTTCCGCACCCCAACCTCTTATCTCTGTGCCCCAACCCCTTTTCCCACTTTTCTGGAAGGTAAGAACCCCTGAACCCCTTCCCTCCGTTTCTCTACTCTCTCTTTTCTCTAGGCTTGCTTCCTTCACTATGGGCAACTTTCCACCCTCCATTCCTCCTTCTACTCCCTTGGCCTGTGTTCTCAAAAAACTTAAAACCTCTTCAACTCACACCTGACCTAAAACCTAAATGCCTTATTTTCTTCTGCAATGCTGCTCGACCACAGTACAAACTCAACAGTAGTTCCACATAGCCAGAAAATGGAACTTTGAATTTTTCCATCCTGCAAAATCTAAATAATTCTTGTCGTAAAATAGGCAACCGGTCTGAGGTGCCTGATGTCCAGGCATTCTTTTACACATCGGTCCCTTCCTTGTCTCTGTGCCCAGTGCAACTCGTCCCAAATCTTCCTTCTTTCCCTCCCGCCTGTCCCCTCAGTCCCAAGCCCAAGCGTCACTGAGTCTTTCTAATATTCCTTTTCTACAGACCCATCTGACCTCTCCCCTCCTCGCCAGGCCAAGCTAGGTCCCAATTCTTCCTCAGCCTCCGCTCCTCCACCCTGTTATCTTTTTATCACCTCCTCTCCTCACACCTGGTCTGGCTTACAGTTTCATTCTGTGACTAGCCCTCACCCACCTGCCCAGGAATTTACTCTTAAAAAGGTGGCTGGAGCTAAAGGCATAGTCAAGGTTAATGCTCCTTTTTCTTTATCCCAAATCAGATAGCGTTTAGGCTCTTTTTCATCAAATATAAAAACCCAGCCCAGTTCATGGCTCGTTCCGTAGCAACCCTGAGACGTTTTACAGCCCTAGACCCTAAAAGGTCAAAAGGCCGTCTTATTCTCAATATACATTTTATTACCCAATCTGCTCCCGACATTAAATAAAACTCCAAAAATTAAATTCCGGCCCTCAAACCCCACAACAGGATTTAATTAACCTCGCCTTCAAGGTGTACAATAATAGAAACAAGTTGCAATTCCTTGCCTCCACTGTGAGACAAACCCCAGCCACATCTCCAGCACACAAGAACTTCCAAACGCCTGAACCACAGCAGCCAGGCGTTCCTCCAGAACCTCCTCCCCCAGGAGCTTGCTACACATGCTGGAAATCTGGCCACTGGGCCAAGGAATGCCTGCAGCCCGGGATTCCTCCTAAGCCACGTCCCATCTGTGTGGGACCCCACTGAAAATCGGACTGTTCAACTCACCTGGCAGCCACTCCCAGAGCCCCTGGAACTCTGGCCCAAGGCTCTCTGACTGACTCCTTCTCGGCTTAGTGGCTGAAGACTGACGCTGCCCGATCACCTCAGAAGCCCCGTAGACCATCACGGACGTGACGCTGAGTTTTGGGTAACTCTCACAGTGGAAGGTAAGTCCATCCCGTTCTTAATCAATACGGAGGCTACCCACTCCACATTACCTTCTTTTCAAGGGCCTGTTTCCCTTGCCTCCATAACTGTTGTGGGTATTGATGGCCAGGCTTCTAAACCTCTTAAAACTCCCCAACTTAGACAATACTCTTTTAAGCACTCCTTTTTAGTTATCCCCACCTGCCCAGTTCCCTTATTAGGCTGAGACACTTTAACTAAATTATCTGCTTCCCTGACTATTCCTGGACTACAGCGATATCTCATTGCCTCCCTTCTTCCCAATCCAAAGCCTCCTTTGTGTCCCCCTCTTGTATTCCCCCACCTTAACCCACAAGTATAAGATACCTCTACTCCCTGCTTGGCGACCGATCATGCACCCCTTGCCATCTCATTAAAACCTAATCACCCTTACCCCACTCAACGCCAATATCCCATCCCGCAGCATGCTTTAAAAAGATTAAAGCCTGTTATCACTCGCCTGCTACAGCGTGGCCTTTTAAAGCCTATAAACTCTCCTTACAATTCCCCCATTTTACCTGTCCTAAAACCAGACAAGCCTTACAAGTTAGTTCAGGATCTGTGCCTTATCAACCAAATTGTTTTGCCTATCCACCCCGTGGTGCCAAACCCATATACTCTCCTATCCTCAATACCTGCCTCTATAACCCATTATTCTGTTCTAGATCTCAAACATGCTTTCTTTACTATTCCTTTGCACCCTTAATACCAGCCTCTCTTCACTTTCACTTGGACTGACCCTGTAACCCATCAAGCTCAGCAAATTACCTAGGCTGTACTGCTGCAAAGCTTCACAGACAGCCCCCATTACTTCAATAAAGCCCAAATTTCTTCCTCATCTGTTACCTATCTCGGCATAATTCTCATAAAAACACACGTGCTCTCCCTGCCAATCGTGTCCGACTGATCTCTCAAACCCCAGCACCTTCTACAAAACAACAACTCCTTTCCTTCCTAGGCATGGTTAGTATGGTCAGAATTCTTACACAAGAGCCAGGACCACACCCTGTAGCCTTTCTGTCCAAACAACTTGACCTTACTGTTTTAGCCTAGCCCTCATGTCTGCGTGCAGCGGCTGCCGCTGCATTAATACTTTTAGAGGCCCTCAAAATCACAAACTATGCTCAACTCACTCCCTACATTTCTCATAACTTTCAAAATCTATTTTCTTCCTCATACCTGATGCATATACTTTCTGCTTCCCGGCTCCTTCAGCTATACTCACTCTTTGTTGAGTCTCCCACAATTACCGTTGTTCCTGGCCCAGACTTCAATCTGGCCTCCCACATTATTCCTGGTACCACACCTGATCCCCATGACTGTATCTCTCGGATCCACCTGACATTCACCCCATTTCCCCAAATTTCCTTCTTTCCTGTTCCTCACCCTGATCACGCTTGATTTATTGATGGCAGTTCCACCAGACCTAATCGCCACACACCAGCAAAGGCAGGTTATGCTATAGTACAAGCCACTAGCCCGCCTCTTAGAACCTCTCATTTCCTTTCCATCGTGGAAATCTATCCTCAAGGAAATAACTTCTCAGTGTTCCATCTGCTATTCTACTACTCCTCAGGGATTATTCAGGCCCCCTCCCTTCCCTACACATCAAGCTCGAGGATTTGCCCCACCCAGGACTGGCAAATTAGCTTTACTCAACATGCCCTGAGTCAGATAACTAAAATACCTCTTAGTCTAGGTAGATACTTTCACTGGATAGGTAGAGGCCTTTCCTACAGGGTCTGAGAAGGCCACCACAGTCATTTCTTCCCTTCTGTCAGACATAATTCCTCAGTTTAGCCTTCCCACCTCAATACAGTCTGATAACAGACGAGCCTTTATTAGTCAAATCAGCCAGCAGTTTTTCAGGCTCTTAGTATTCAGTGAAACCTTTATATCCCTTACGGTCCTCCGTCTTCAAGAAAAGTAGAATAGACTAAAGGTCTTTTAAAAACACACCTCACCAAGCTCAGCCACCAACCTAAAAAGGACTGGACAATACTTTTACCACTTTCCCTTCTCAGAAGTCAGACCTGTCCTCAGAATGCTACAAGGTACAGCCCATTTAAGCTCCTATATAGACGCTCCTTTTTATTGGGCCCCAGTCTCATTCCAGACACCAGACCAAGTTAGACTGTGCCCCCAAAAAACTTGTCATCCCTACTATCTTCTGTCTAGTCATACTCCTATTCACCGTTCTCAACTACTCATACATGCCCTGCTCTTGTTTACACTGCCGGTTTACATTGTTTTTCCAAGCCATCACAGCTGATATCTCCTGGTGCTATCCCCAAACTGCCACTCTTAACTCTTGAAGTAAATAAATAATCTTTCCTGGCAGGACTATGCCGAATCTCCTTAAGCACTCTCTAATCAGATATCCTGAGTCGTCCCAATTCTTAGACCTTTTATACCTGTTTTTCTCCTTCCATTATTACATTTAGTTTCTCAATTCATCCAAAACCATATCCAGGCCATCACCAATCATTCTATACGACAAATGTTTCTTCTAACATCCCCACAGAATCACCCCTTACCACAAGACCTCCCTTCAGCTTAATCTCTCCCACTCTAGGTTTCCACGCCGCCCCAATCCCGCTTGAAGCAGCCCTGAGAAACATCGCCCATTCTCTCTCCATACCACCCCCCAAAAATTTTCGCCGCCCCAACACTTCAACACTATTTTGTTTTATTTTTCTTATTAATATAAGAAGGCAGGAATGTCAGGCCTCTGAGCCCAAGCCAAGCCATCGCATCCCCTGTGACTTGCACGTATAGGCCCAGATGGCCTGAAGTAACTGACGCATATACTTTCTGCTTCCCGGCTCCTTCAGCTATACTCACTCTTTGTTGAGTCTCCCACAATTACCGTTGTTCCTGGCCCAGACTTCAATCCAGCCTCCCACATTATTCCTGGTACCACACCTGAAAATAATAGTAATAAAAATCCAGAGTAGGTAAGAAAATATTTAAACATCATATATTAGAAAAAGAACTTTTTTCTAAAATATATAAGGCAATCTCACAAATCAATAATGAGAGCAACCAATTAAAACTGAGCAAAAGTTTAAATAGACATTTCTCCAAAGAAACATGAATAGCCAACATTCACATCTAAGAATGCTCAATATTATTAGTCATTAGGAAAATGCAAATCAACACAATAGTGAGAAACCATTTTACAGCCACTGGGATGACAGTGATTAAAAAAGATTCATAATAAGGACTGTTGGTGAGGATGTGGAGAAATTGGAATCCTCACATATTGCAGGTGGTAATGTAAAGTGATACCATCACTTTAGAAAACAATTTGGCAGATGCACAAAATGTTAAACAGAGAATTACCACATAACACAACCATTCCTCTCCTAAGAATTTCTTTCCAAGATAAAGAAAAATATATGTCAACATTAGAAAGTGGCTACAAATGTTCATAATAGCTTTATTCATAATAGCCAAAAAGTAGAAACAACACAAATGTCCATTAACTGAGGAATGGATGACCAAATGTGGGTTAATTTACATGGCAGTTTGGGTAGGTACTGGGGCCCAGTTATTTAGTCAAACACTGGTCTAGATGTGTCTGTGAAAGTTATTTTGTACATGTAATTAACATTTTTGATCAGTTGATTTTAAATAAAGCAGATGAGTGTCCATAATTTTGGTAGGCCTCATCCAATCACTTGAAGGTCTTAATAATAAAAACAGAGGTAGAATCCCATATATCTCTATATACTCCATATCCATATTTATATAGAGATAGCCTATTGATTCTGTTTCTCTGTTCACTGAATAATCCCATCTGATACACATTCCATGGAGTATTATTTGAAAATATAAAGAATAAAGTACTGGTTGATGATTTTTTTATCCAAAATGCTTGGGACCAGAAGTGTTTTGAATTCCTTTTTTTAAAATTTTTGGAATATTTGCATATAAAGAATGACATATCTTGGGAATGTGTCACAAATCTAAACACAAAATTTCATAAACACCTTATACACAACATTTGAAGGTAACTGTATACAATATGTTAAGTAATTTTGTCCATTCAAATTTTGAAACAAAGTTTGTATACATTGAACTATCAAAAAGTAAATGTGTCACTATCTCCTGTTGGTGCTCAAAAAATTTCTGATTTTAGAGCACTTCAGATCTTTGATTTTTGAAGTAGAGATGCTCAACCTATAACTGATAAGCAATAGGTTATCACTCTGAACATGAATGCCCTTTGAAAACATTATGCTAAGAAAAAGTAGCTAGTTACTAAAAATCACATATTTTATAATACTTAAGATGATATTTAAAAGTGGGGAAGGTAAAATGACCTAAACTCCCAAACTGAAGTAAAATTTTCATACTATACTAGAAGTGATAAAATGTTGAAAACAATAGACTATGATGTCACATACATATATAATAATATCTACAGCAAACACTATGAAAATTATGGAAAAATACACTTGAAAACACTATAAATAAGTCAAAATGAGATCTAAAAAATGTTTAAGTAACAAACATGATGTCAGGAAAAAAGAAAAAGAGAAGAGAGTACCAGAAGAAATAAGCAGTAAACAAACAAAGTAGCCGGGCACGGTGGCTCAAGCCTGTAATCCCAGCATTTTGGGAGGCCAAGGCGGGTGGATCACCTGAGTTTGGGAATTCGAGACCAGCCTGACAAACATGGAGAAACCCCATCTCTACTAAAAATACAAAATTAGCCAGGTGTGGTGTCACATGCCTGTAATTCCAGCTACTAGGGAGGCTGAGGCAGGAGAATCGCTTGAACCTGGGAGGCGGAGGTTGCAGTGAGCTGATATCACACCATTGAACTCTAGCCTGGGCAACAAGAGTGAAACTCCATCTCAAAAATAAAATAAAATAAAATAAAATAAAATAAAATAAAATAAAATAAAATAAAATAACAAGTAACAAAAAACAAGTAAGATGGTAGAGTTAGGAGTTGACACATCAATAATTGCCTGATGTAAACGCTGAAAATATACCAATAGAAAAATAGATTGTCATAGTCTCTAAAAATTATGATGCAAGTATATGCTGTGTATATGAAACTCACTTCAGATTTAACATATGTAGTTTGAAAGTAAAAGAATGGAAGACCACATTACATGTAAGCATTAATTGAATTAATTCATTAAATTAGTTTAGGTTAATTAATTTATTAATTAAAAAGGAAAGGTAAGTAGAATATGATAAAATACACATTAAAACAAAAAGAATTACTAGAGCCTAAGAGAGTTATTTCATCATGACAATAAAGAAATACATAAAAATCCTAAGTCCCTGCAAACTAAACAATAAAATCTCCAAACGTATGAAGCAAAAACTAGCAGAGGTAAAAGAAAAAATAAGCAAATACACAACTGTAGCTGTGGACATAAAAAGCTTCCTCTCAGCACCTGATAGAGACACTACACAAAAAAATGAGCAACAATATAGATCAGAATAACGTAATCAATCAAGAATATCTAATGGACATATATGGAACAATCTATCAAACAATAGCAGTATATACATATATTTTAAGAACTGAGGGAATATTTGCCAAGATAGACTATTTCATGGTCCATAAAAACTTCAACAAACATAAAATAATTGAGATCATAATGTGTGTTCTTTGACCATAAAAGAATCAAATTAGACATCAATACCAGAAAGACAACAAATCTCTAAACATTTAACAATCAAACAAGACACATCCAAACAATCCATAGATCAATCAAAAAGGCATGAATAAAAAATAAATACAAGTGAATAAAAATACAACATATCAAAATTTATGGGATGCAGCTAAAGCAGCATTAAAAGGGAAAAGTAATGAATGCTATAAATTCCACAATAAAATTAAGAAACATGGCAAGTCAAAATATATGCTCCTACCTCAAAAGAACAGAAAAAGAAGAAAAATTTACTCAAAACAGGCAAAGGAATAAAATTATAATGAGCAGAAATCAATAAAATTGAAAACAGAAAAAAGTACCAAGATATATCAATGAAACAAAAAGCTAGTCTTTACAAATATCAGTAAAATGATTAACCTCCTGCAAAACTGACCAAAATAGAAGAAGGAGGCCTGGCACGGTGGCTCACACCTATAATCCCAGCACTTTGGGAGGCCGAGGCGGGTGGATCATGAGGTCAGGAGATCGAGACCATCGTGGACAACATAGTGAAACCCCTTCTCTACTAAAAATACAAAAATTAGCCAGTGTGGTGGCACATCCCTGTAATTCCAGCTACTTGGGAGGCTGAGGAAGGAGAATCGCTTGAACCCAGGAGGCAGAGGTTGCAGTGAGCCGAGATCATGCCACTGTACTGTAGCCTGGGTGACAGAGCAAAACTCCATCTTGGGGGGGAGAAATCTTGTAGGCATCAAAGGCTCAGAGAACACTATATAATTGCACTCATTAATTTTAACTTAGAATTAATGGGCAAATATCTGAAAAGCCACAAAGAATCAAAATGCAACCAAAATGAAATAGACAATATGGATAGTCCTGTAAGTGTTAAATGAATTGAATTTAATCCGGGTATGATGTCATGCACCTGTAGTCCCAGGTACTCAGGAGTCTGAGATGGCAGGATAACTTGAGCCCAGAAGTTAGAGGCTGCAGTGAGTGAAGACTGTGCCACTGCACTCCAACTTGGGAGACAGAGCAAGGCTCTATCTCCAAAAGAAAAGAGAAAAAAAAATTGAATTTGTAATTGTGACTCAAGAAAGAGAAATCTCTAGGCCCACATAATTTCACTGGAGAATTGTGACAAACACATAAAAAAGAATTAATAGTGATTTTATGCAATATTTTCCCAGAATAGAAAAGTAAGGAAAATTTCATAACTCATGTGATGAAGCCAATGTAATTCTGATGCAAAGGTGGTACAAAAAACCAAACTACAGATTGAAAGTACTCATAAGTCTATATTCAGAAATTATCAGTAAAATTAGCAATGCAAATCCAATAATGTATAAAAAATTTATGCATCATGACTAAGTAGAATTTATTGCAGATATGCATAGCAGTTTCAATGTCTACAAAATAAATATATTGTATGCACCATATCAACATGCTAAAGTAAAAAAGAAATCATGTGACAACTGAGGTAGAAGAAAGCATTAACAAAATTCAGTAACTGTTAACCTATCATGTTAAGAATAGAGGAAATTGAGGAAATAGGAATACAGTAAAATTACATCAAACCTGCAGCTAGCATCATACTTAATCATGGAAAATTGAATATTTTCCACATAATATCCAGAACAAGGTAAGAATGTCTGATATCACTACTCTCATTCAACACACTATGGAAAGTCTAGCCACTGCAATAAGGCAAGAAAAAGAAATCAAGACAATGTGGCATTGTCTATGGAGACACGTAGACACATGGTACAGAACACAAAAGCCAGACATAGACTAGCACAAACACATCAAATTGATTTTTGACAAGGTTGCAAACAATATTCAATAGACAAAAAAAGTATTCTTGACAAATGATTTTGGAACAATCTGACATCCAAAGAAAAGAAGGAAAAAAAAACTTTGATCTAAATCTCACAACATTTATTTAACTTAGCTCAAAATGGATTGCAGACTTACATGTAATTGTTAATACTATAAATACTGAAGAAAAGCTAGGAATGGAAAACTTCTGGGATTCAGGTTTAGGTAAAGAATTATTAGATTTGACACTAACACCTCAACCCATGAAATTAAAAAAAACTGTATGTTAGATATTATCAAAATTAAAATATTTGGCTGTGCAAACTTTCATGTGAAGAGGAATAAAGACAAGGTATGAATGGGGAGAAAGTATTTGCAAACTAAGTATCCAACAGAGGGTACTTTTGTGGTATACATAAAAAAAATTCCTAAAACTGAACAATAAAAGACAATCCAATTAGAAAATGAGCAAAAGACATTAACAGACATTTCACCATAAAGGATTTACAGATGGTAAATGAACGTTTAAAAAATGTTCAACATCATTAGCCATGAGGAAAATGCAAATAAAAATCATGAGATATTACTACATATCTATCAAAAAGGCTAAAATAAAAAGTAATAATAACAACAAAATTCTGGCAAGGATGTGGAGAAACTGGATCTTTCATATATTTTGGGTGGGGATATAAACTGGTACAGCCACTCTGGGAAAATTATGACAATTTATCTTAAAATTAAATATGCAATAATTATACTACTCAGTAGGCACACCTTTGGACATTTGTCCCAGAGTAATGAAATCTGTTCACAAAAACACTTTAATGCAAATGTTCATAAAAACTTTATTTGTAATACACAAAACTTGAAATAACTCAGATGTCCTTCAACAGATGATGGGTAAACAAACTGTGGTATGTGTATGCATATATATATATATATATAATACATGTATATATATATGTGCATAAGTGTGTATATATATATATATATTATAGTTTAGTGACACTGATTTAATTTCTGCTAAGGCACATGTAATTTTACTTACCATCAGTTCTTTTGCAATCAGTGTAAATGTCAACACAGTGAAAAGGCAAATATAAAATAATGTCTAGTCCTATTTTGAAAAGAATTTCACCTCACAACTACCTGAAAGGATCAAGACTACTCTAATGGGTCAAAGGATCACATTTGCAAAATGACTTTCTTAGTGATATGGGATTTCATTTAATTAATTGGATAAGTATAAAGTAAATATTTTTTTTAAAAAATGAGGCTGGATGTGGTGGCTCATTCCTGTAATCCTAGTGCTTTGGGAAGCTGATTTTGGAGGAGTGCTTGAGCCCAGGAGTTCGAGACCAGCCTGGGCAACATGGTGAAACCGTGTCTACAAAAAAAACAAAAATTAGCTGTGGTGCACCTCTGTAGTTCCAACTACTTGGGAGGCTGAGGCAGAAGGATCACTTGGGCCCCAGAGGTTGAGGCTGCAGTGATCTATGAGCATGCCACTGCACTCCAGCCCCAGTGACAGAGTGAGACCCTGTCTCAAAAAAAAAAAAAACAAAAGCAAATGATAGTTGGCTTTTCCAATATAAGATTGCTTTGCTTTTTAAACCACTAAAAATTGAACTACAGTCATGTGCCATATAAGGACATTTCTTAAGTCAAGGACCAACCTTATATGTTGGTGGTCCCATAAGATTACAATGGAGCATATATAGAAAGCTGATATATGGCACTTGATATTGGCACTGCAGATCAAGTAGAGGATTTGATTTATATTAATTAATAATGCTGAGTCATTTGAGATTTCAGCTGAAGGAATATATATAAATTTAAAATATATTCTATCTATCTATCTAGGTTTGTGTAAGTATACTCTATAGCATTCCCACAATAACAAAATCACTTAATTTTACATCTCTCAGAACATAGCCTCATGGTTAATTGACACATACTGCATAATAAATTTCTGCCCCTAAAGTAAATGATAAGGACTAGTTTATTTTTTCACCATAAAATAAATAATTAATTTTCATTTTTCAGATGGTTATGTGAATGTTGGGGCCAATATCTTAAGATTCCATTGTTTATGTGCTTTTTAATGCATTGAAATTAAATATTTTCACATCATTATATCAATTTTATTGAAAACTAATTAGGGTTTTTCTATTATAAATAATATAATAAATTATAAATTAAAATTTACTGAGTTTTTTGAAACAATATTATAAAACTTCTCTAAACATCTTTAGCAATAATAGCTTAGTATAATTTGACTTTATGTTCAATGTTTCAACCTTTCACAACTTAATGCAATAAACAAGAAACATAAAATTAAAAGTAATTTCAGTTATTTAGCCTAACTTTAATTTTGCTTCACATTGGATGATGGACATTTATTAAGCACTTAAAAAATAATGTCTAAAGCCTTAACCATCCTACCCTCTATTATAGATAATCCATGCATAGATAAATCTAATGGATTAATATGCATTTAAGGCAATTCTTTCTTTTTTATTTATTTATTTTTTAATTATACTTTAAGTTCTAGGGTACATGTGCACAACGTGCAGGTTTTTTATATATGTATACATGTGCCATGTTGATGTTCTGCACCTGTTAACTTGTCATTTACATTAGGTATATCTTCTAATGCTATCCCTCCCCCCTCCCCCCTCCCCCAACTCCACGACAGGCCCTGGTGTGTGATGTTCCCCACCCTGCATCCAAGTGTTCTCATTAGACAATTCTAATAAACTAAATAATAATAATATGTTTGAAATTTTGATATGAGTAATTTGCTTGATTGGTGAGTTCACAAACTGATTATTTCAAGCAGGGGTACTTTCTCTTTAGATTTATAATGAAGCAAGCTCTTACTAGAAAGAGTGCTGTCATTTATTGGGAACTTGAAGTAGACAAAGAACCAAAGAAAGCTTTCAGGTGAAGATGAAAGTCACAAAGTGTGTGAATAAAAAGAACAGGTTCATTTATCTTGTCTTTTTACACCTGGACAGAATGCTAAGAGCCATCTGTCAAAACTACATGCAGTGCAATAAAGGGCATTTTGTTTATCTGTGAATAAATTAAATGGACTTGAATGGAGTTTTAATGGAAATAAGTATAATTTAGATTTCCAAACAATCAAGCTTGGGATTTCCTTCAACAAGCTTTTGAAGGAACTCTTTAGAGGGCAATGCTCAAGGAGAATTCCTCTTTCCACTTTAACTTTTTGTAATATGGCCATTCAACCAAAGTTTTCCTCTTTAATATTTGGCACATTCTAGATCAGTAGGAAATGAGAAAACCATTCCAACCAGTCTCCACCATAAATATTTGCCTTGGGATGGATAAATAAATGAAGTGAAAATATACTTTTATTTAGAATGATGAAAATAGGTTTTCAGAACTATTGATGGAAATAATATATATTTTATAAATGGACACACTGATTGAGTGAAATTATTCACTACAGAATAGTATACCAATTTTCGACTGTGTTTTTCTTTTTAAATAATAAGGCAACAAACGGTGGGGAAAAATATAATCATTTTTTCAAACATTTTACAGTTTTAATTTTTAATTAGATTGGCAATCTATGGAATGCATACATACAGAATTGAAAACATTAAAATAACATAGAAAACTTAGGAAGTGAAAAACAATTTATAAATATTATGTTTGTCCTTGGAAATAGCAATATAATGTCTTAAAAATAAGAATTTATAAAAATTGTATTAGCTTGATGTTAAAATGTCTAGTTTCATTTATATACCTTTGACAAACTTGACAAAACTGAAAATATTTCTCAGAAATAAGATATTTCTGTGAAATAGACTTAAAATGCATCAGTATCATAACTATGTAGATTTGCAAACAGGGAAGCATGATTCATGTACAGAAGTGGAAAGTGTGAAGTGAATTCAAACTGTGTTTTAAGAGCTTAAATGATAGACTTACTAGACAAAGACTTTAAATTGCCTATTAAAAATATAGCTAACGAACTAAAAGGAATCATGTCTGAAACATTAAAGAAAAAAAGTATGAGAATGAGATCTTACCAAATGAACAGCATCAATAAACAGATAGAAATAATAAAAGAAACCAATGGAAATTCTATGGATAAAAAAATACAAAAACTTGAATAAAAATTTTTCTAAAGGACTTCAACACATGTGAATTGACAGAAGTAAGACTTAGTCAGCCTGAAGATAGTTCAAATGACAAAATCTAGCCTGAGGAACAGAAACAAAAAAGCACAAAGAAAAATAAACAGACCTCAATAACCTATGAGACAGCATCAAGCTTATGAATATACAAATAGTAGTAGACTCATAGGAAGAGTAGAGAGATAAAAGGTAGAAAGAATCTTTGAAGAAATAAATTGTTGAAAATTGTCCAGATTAAAAAAAATATTCTATGCATCCCAGAATTTCAACATAAACCAAGTTGGAGGACAGTTCTTTTGGTGATCTTGAACTTACCCAGTTCTCCCCCGTTTCATGTTTGTGGTTCCCAAGATTAACTGTAGAATATGCTAGGAATGGGATCTCTTTTCTTTTTTTTCATTTCCAAAGTTTATTATTCGTTAAGGGGTACATGTGAAGCATGTCCAGGTTTGTTACATAGGTAGATGTGTGCCATGGTGATTTGCTGCACAGATCATCCCATCATCTAGATATTAAGCCCAGCATCCACTAGTTATTCTTCCTGATGGTCTCCCTCCTCTCACTCCCCACCTTCTGACAGGCCTCAGTGTGTGTTGTTCCCCCATGTGTCTATGTGTTCTCATCATTCAGCTCCCACTTATAAGTAAGGACATGCGTATTTAGTTTTCTGTTTCTACATTGGTTTGCTGAGGATAAAAGCCTCTAGCTCCATCCATGGAGCTAGACATGGTGTCATTCCTTTTTAAAGCTGCATAATATTCAATGGTGTATATGTACTACATTTTCTTTATTCAGTCTATCATTCAGGTTGATTCCATGTCTTTGCTAGTGTGACTAGTGCTGCAATGAATATATACATACACATATCTTTATAGTAGAACAATTTATATTCCTTTGCATATATACCCAGTAATAGAATTGCTAGGTCACATGGTATTTCTGCCTCTAGATTATTTCAGGAATCACCACATTGTCTTCCACAATGGTTGAACTAATTTACACTCTCAGCAACAGTGTAAAAGCATTCCTGTTATTTTTTCACATTTTAATAATCACCATTCTGACTGTTGTAAGATGGTATCTCATTGTTGTTTTGATTTGTATTTTTCTAATGATTAGTTATGGTGAGTTTTTTTCACACTTGTTGGCCACATGTATGTCTTCTTTTGAGAAGTGTCTGTTTATGTCCTTTCCCCACTTCTTAATGGGATTGTTTGGTTTTCTTCTTGTACATTTGTTTAAGCTCCTTGTAGATGCTGGATATTAGACCTTTGTCATCTGATCTTCAACAAACCTGACAAAAACAAGCAATGAGGAAAGGATTCCCTATTTAATAAGTGGTGCTGGGAGAACTGGCTAGCCATATACAGAAAATTGAAACTGGACCTCTTCCTTATGCCATGTACAAAAATCAAGTCAAGATGGAATTAAAGACTTAAATATAAAACCCAAAACTATAAAAACCCTAGAAGAAAATCGAGGCAATACCATTCAAAGCATAGGCATGGACAAATGTTTTATGAGGATGACAGCAAGAGCAACTGCAACAAAAGCAAAACTTGACAAATGGGATCTAATTAAACTAAAGTGGTTCTGCATAGCAAAATAAACTATCAACAGAGAAAACAGACAACCTACAGAATGGGAGAAAATTTTTGCAATCTATTCATCTGACAAAAGAATGGGATATCTTGAGATAGGGAGAAACTGCCTGAAACAGTGTAGGGTCCTGTTCCTGTTCTCCTGAGAAAAGTAATAAAGAGAGCTAAAAAGGAACACCCCAGGACAGCTTGGGACTTGTTTCTCTCTTCCCTGGAAGTGGGATGCCCTTCAAAGCACATCCAGTGAGTCACACGGCCCCTAAATTTTATAAGCCAGGGCAGACTACCTTTTAGGGTCCCTCAGCTCTGGTGCAAGTGGTTTAGTTAAGACTCAGTCTGCCCAAGGCAGCTTTCTTGAGCTTTGGAGGATCAACTCACAACAGATCCTAGGCTTCCCTTGTCCCTTGCTACATCTCTGTAAACACTAAACCCTTTTTATATAACTTGTTGACTCTGAGTGTGTTCTGATTCACTGGACTCAGAAATTGGTAACACTGTAGCTAAGGATGCAGTGGACAGAAATATTTGGACTCTTATTTCTGGTGGTTGGCATGGTGATAATCTCTGTTATTCTCTATGGAGTGATAGATCTCCATTACAACTGGTTATTAGTGAACCTACTTCACACAAGTAGGATCAGTTCAAGGAGATCCACATTTGGACACATCATAGTTAAATTACTGAAAGAGAAAATAATGAAACCAGTGAAAGAAAAATTTTCCATAGTGTACAAGGGACCTTCAATAAGATAAACAGATGACTTCCCACAGAAACCAAAGAGAGCTGGAGTGGCTACACTAATATCAGACAAAATAAACTTTAATACAAAAATTCTAATTAGAGACAAAGAAGGTACTCTATAATGCTAAAACAGCCAATCTAATAGGAAAATAACAAAGTTAAAACTATATAGCTAACTGAATTCTCAAATTAAATGAAGTGAAAACTGAGAGTTTCCTAAATAAATTTTAAACTCAATACCAAACACGGAATGTTTTAAGAAACAATTTGAAATTCATTCAAACATTTTTCAAGAAGTACATGTGAGTTTTAATACTTATTAACATAATCATAATTTCATTTACAAGTAAGAATAAGAATTCTGAGAAACGATGCAAGAAAAAATAAAAGATGAACTATATAACCTACAAAATGGAAATAAAATTCTATAAGATGAAATTAAGATTAGTGAAGATAGAAAAGAATGATTGTATTGAGATGAACTAACAGTGAAAAACTAGGACTAGTTAATTAGTGATGGCCAAGAAAACAGGACAAATGTGGAAAAGAAAAACATAAGAAACAGATGTTAATGTTTGTGAGCACAGCAAAACATTGGGGCATTGTCCTTAGAAGCTTCATCTTTCTCATTCCATCTTGTACAAAAATGCGTTTCAAAATCAAAGGTAGACAATTTTCTAAGAAGCAGAAATAGCTAACATTCATTTGCCATTGTTATATGCCAGGTTCTTTGCTAAATATTTCATACATATACATATCAATTGACTTAGGCCTCATGATAACACTATGAAAAGTCATACTTTATCTTTACTTTATAGATGTAGAAACTGTAGTTTATCAAAATTAACTGACTTGTGCAACATCATACAGCTGGCACTTCGAAAAACCAGGATATGAATATGGTCAGCCTGGTGTCAGAGCTCCAGTGCTTATTTTACACTGCCTTCTAGAACATGCTGATAACTTTTATTAATCTACATTTAAGCCTGGGCAACTCTAAAGATGCGATCATTGAATTAAATTGTTTACTTCAGAAGTGTATTGTTTAATCTTACAAACTTTGAATGGGTGAAAATACAATTAAAATGGATTAATATTTTTTAATAATTATGAATATATTTTGGATCACGTTATTTTGATACATGGTCCCACTCATAACAGTTTGAAAAACACTAGTTTCGTTATCATGCATATTACTATATATTGCCCCCACTGTATTTTTCCTGACAAGTTTATATTTCCGGATTCATAAGTTCTTGTGTCTTCCACTGATCTTTGTAATACCAGAGTGATATTTGTAAGGTGGCTATGAACAACCTATAATTATTACTGGATTTTTTTACTGAAATTGAACAATGGGAAGATATTCTTTACAAAATTGCTACATCTGCCTGTGCAACCCTGCATTTCATTTTCAATGAATGTGGCTAACCTTAGTTTTTAGTCCTTTTGAAGAATCAAAGGCTTTAAAATTAAGCCATAAATTTCTTGCTAGGCAAAATCAATATCCAATTCTAAACATAAAGCTATGGAGAGAAAAAAAAATCTTAACTCTTGGACATAGCAGTAAAAGATCAAGAACTACTTACCAAACAGTATGAGGGAAGATAATTACATGTAAATATTAAACTGGATGAACATATCACCATCTCATTAGAAATATTTTTCTTGAGCATATTGTTGTCTTATAATAAGGAGCAAGAACTCTGCTAGTAAGTTTGTGTGGAGAGTCAGGTTTAAATAAAAATCATTCCTCTACTGAAAGTATTCCCATTCTGAGATAATTGTTTGTTTATTTTTGCTGCTGGAATATTTTTGTGAGTCCAGAGACATGCCAGATCAACTATTAGAATTCTGATAAAGACATCAATGAATTCTCATTTTGTTTCAAATTCTATACTCAGAAGGATTAATTATTTCTATTTTCAGTGCTGCCTGTATTATCAATGTGAAGGTATTTCAACTGGAAAAGAAGCAATATGGTTTACACTCTATTTTTACCTTGTTGACATTAGATTTCTGCCATGGGAATAATTATATTTTAGTCATATGGCTATAAAATTAGAATGAATTAGAAGTTTTAAAGTTAGGATTAGAAAGCCACTATTAAATACCTTTTGAGAAATAATCAACCAATATATTGTGAACATCCTAAATTTTATATGGGAAAAGTTTGAATGCTTGTCTACCTGCTCACCTAATTGAGAGCAATGGTATAATCTCCAAGTGTTGCTAAACAAAAATGCTTCATCTTATTCAACAGAACTTGGCATATACGCTCATTAAATAGAATAACTCTAATTGATAAATATTTTCTGAAACAGTATAGATTGGTCTAGAATAGAATGCTTTTCTGCTGAGTTGAGACTTCAAGTCCTGTATGTTAAACCTCCCTATGATGTAAAATAGACCCTCACTTTCCATAGACTTTCTTAAAGGGCCATCTAATGCGATTCTGAAATATACACACAGATAGACCTTAAGAGAAGAGGAAAATGAAAGGGAAAAATACAGATTTAGAAGCCTGGAGAGAAAATTAGAACTTGGACATATTAGCTATAAAATAGGCCTTAACAAATGTTTCAAAATAAAGATATTGACAATGAAAAACTGGTAAAGGAAACATAAAATACACAATTTTATTGAACACAGTATAATTGAAGTTATAGGTCATAACTTTAATTAGTTAAGGCATATTTTTGTTTTTTTCGTGGCATATAAAATACAAAATCTATAATCAGTCTTTAGTCATACCATAGAATAATTGATCTAATCCTAAAAAATTTGGATTTCATGAGTTTTTTTGATTTTCTGTTGTTGTTTTTGCATATACTTATTAGTTTTAAAGTCCTGTAAATGGTTACAATGTGTCATCTTAAACTAGCATCTTTGAACGTCATGTATTGTCATATTGCAACAAGTGCAATGAATTCACAACTAAGACTCACTGAGGGCTAGAAAATTGTTACATGCTCTTTGCCTTCCAAAAAAGACAAAATCCAAAACTCAGTGAAATAAAACAAAGAGAATGCACATTATTGCTTCTGGATTCTAACCATAGATAGAGTTCAGACTACTGGTCAGCTACCCTCACCTTCCAAAGAAAAGAAAAAAAGAAACAAAAGAAAGGAACACTGTCACATTTTATTAAGTACATCGTAGGTGCTTAATTAGTAACTTTATAGATGAAACAAATCAAAGAATAATAGTGATACTATGATATTTCCTTTCTGTGAGAATAAGAGAGAAACATATCTGTAAACACTGAAATGTTCTCACAATGTTCAGTATTATTTTAGATAACTGAACTGTGTTGTATTTCTCCAATAGTATCTCTTCTCTTTAAACACAATTTTTCATATTATAATAGCAAACAGAATGAGATATTGAAGAAAATAAGAGACTTTCTCTTTTCAACAAGTATCTTCAAAGCTAAAGGCTACAGTTAAGTAAACAAAATAAAATGAAAAACAAAAATAAAACATGAAGCTATGATGCTTAAATAAGTGCATGCCATCTGTACTTAACCTTAAGATAAGTTCTCCTTTGTGGTTAGTATTTTTTAAAATACTTTCAGTCCTATTCCTACCAAAATACTCTAGGATCATTTACATCACATGGAAACATCTGGAGGGCCAGGAATTCAGGAAATTCCCAAAAGGGCAGCTGCAGAGCTGCAATGCAGACTTCCGTCTGTTAGACACAAGAGTGTTCAGGAGAAGTGTATGTTTAGAACTGGTATGGGAGGACGTGGGAAGTAAATGAGCTTTGTATCCATAAAAAAACTCAAATTAAAATATTATTGTTTTTGCTTTAACAAGTCCCCCGTTTAGAATACTAAGAGAAGAAATCAGAATGATAGTCTTACGTATTTACCCAGCAGTGCAGAATCTCCAGTGCTTTTCTTTCCTTTGTGTGGATATGGTTTTCTATTTGGCTTAATTTCTCTTCAGCCTTGAAAACGGTCTTTAGCATTTCTGGTAGTGCAGATCAGCTGGTGAATTCTCTCAGCATGTATCTAAACGTCTTTATTTTACCCCAGCTAAAGACCCATGTGCATTCCCATGCCAGCTTCTGTGTCCCCCATTATGTGTAACCACTTGAACAGCCCAGAGCTCTGACCTCTGACTTGTTAACCTGGGCAAGATCACTGATCCATTTAGGCTCCACAACCTCCTGTTACAATATAAAGTGTCCCTTGGCAAAATACTAGTGTGATTCTGGGTTTCTGTTTGTGAGTTTTCGTTTTCTCAAGGATTACTACTCTTTGCTGCCTCTTGTTCAGTGCCTTATACAGGTTTTTAGGCATTTTTGGCAGGAGGGAAAGTCTGCTGGTTACTCTGCCATATTTAGAACTAAAAGTCAATTATTGGCTTTTTAATGAAAATCACAGAAGTACAAATAAGTTCTCACTGATGGAATTAGAGTATATGTATATTTCAATTTGCCAGAATATTGAAGAGAATTTTCCTACCCTTTGCAACATCCCATCACAATACCATAATAATATGAACAGGGAGTAAATATCTAGCAATCCCTGTAATCTGTTCCCTTAAAGAAAGTAATCTAGTCTCAATCCCTAAATAGCCCCGTGTCTCTGCTGGTAATTGGAAACTTGGCTAGAGTCTTTCTGCCTCTAATATATTTAAATTCTTCTCAGAACACTATAAAGAACCAGGATCTAGGACTCCACCAACCTTACATGTGCAAATATTAACTAGGATCTAGGATTCCACCAACCTTATATGTGCAAATATTGTATAACTTTATCTAAAACTTCTTATTATTTCATTACAACATGCTAAGACAGGACATGGAAGGAAAGCTGTCCCTTCACTTCCATTTATAAGAGGCTTTGCAAGACCTATGAAAACGAGCTAATTCCAATAATGTGAGAATTGTTCATGTCCACACAATTTTAGTTGATTTCTACACATATCTAGTGGCAGAAAAAGGCAAGGTGTTTCACAGAGAAAGCCTACAGTTTGTCATCCTCATTGGCAAAGAGAACTAGAAAGTTCTCTTTGGAAGTGTGAATTCAAAAGATCATCTAGAAAATAATTGTAGATTTTGAGAAGTAGGCATATCAGGTGAGAATATAAGAATTCAGAGTATGTGTGGTGCTGAGAAAAAGAAATGTATTTTAATCTTCAAAAAAAGAGACTATAGAAAAATTTTCATGATCTTACCAATAGCCCATTATTTCTACTTATGAGAAAACTGCTTCCACTGCAACATGTGAATTATAAAATATACTGAAGGAAACATTTCCTGACATTTTGAGATTGAATGAAAATGAGTTAGCAGAACTTATCATAGAGTTTCTTTCTTTGAAATGTGCTAACAAACAAAAGCATTTACCTCTTAGTAGAGATGATCTATCTGAAGGCAAAGATGATCTAAGGTACCAAATTTATTGTACTAGAAAACAAAGAGGTAATTATATCTAAGCAGAACTGTAAGAGGTTTAGAGTAGGAAATGCAGTTTCCTAAATTTGAAATATACCAGGCCTAATTAGCATTGCTACTCTCAAGACCTTCATTTCAAGCCTCATCTGAAAAAGGTACTACTATGGGTGTTTTCATATAGGCTGAGATATAATTATACATATTTAGGTCCTATTAATTTATCAGATATCAGATAATGGGGTTACAGAGTATAGAAAATAATTTTAAAGATGGCTATTGCTATAGGTTAGATTTCACCTGATAGTGGACCTGGGAAAAGCCAGATGGACTCAGACAACATTTTCCTTTTCTGATTAACTTTGCAGGTCACTTTCTCATAAATCAACTATTTTGCTTTCTAGCCATTAAGGATTGGAAATTCTCTTTCACTGTAAAATGTCTTTATTATCATACCTCATAATAGGAGACCTGTTTCACTTTATCTTTTGGATTTCCAAAGATTGGAGCTTCAGTGCCTCCTCCACCCCCTGCATCCCCTAGGGGTGAGGTTTAGAAATGAATTTAAAATGTGTAGTTTTAGCAACTTCTCTCTTACTTATATGATTGTAAAACATAACAGAAAAGTTGAGCAATAATTCTCTCTCTCTTTATATCCTTTCTCTCCTTAAGAAAAACTAAGTTCTGGACTAATGAAAGGCATGGACCGATTAGCTTAGGCCAATGCCATTCTAAGGAGTAGCAAAAATGCTTTCTCTTTTTTCCTGTTTGATAGTATTTATTTTCCATTTGTTTTAATTTTCTTTTAAGTTCATAGTCCTTGTTTAAAAAAATATATCTGTATGTTTATTATGCTTTCATTCAGTAAGTTAGGGATTTCATGTAGGTAAAATAATTGGTACTTAGAATTTACAGTTCTAGGTCATTTTAGCAGACATAACTTATGTGAAAACTTCTTTGAAAGGTTTAGCCCTGTTCTCTAGACTTCTATATTGAGACTTGAAATTCCTAGCTAAAAATGAAATATGACTTTGCTTGTCATTATCTTGTGTACATGTTTCTTTCAAGAGCCTTATGTAGAGGGTTATTTGTTATTTATTTGAGGTTACATTTATAATGTATATAGAAATGGCACCGAGTCTAATAAGAAAAGGAACCTGCTAAGGAGTGAGGGAAACATGTTTTAGTCATTTTTGTTTCAAAACTTAGTCTACTTTGAGAATATACACAGTTTTTCAGGTAATGCTCAATCTTTTGGAAAATAATTGTTCAACCTCTTTCATATTTTATTCTATCCCCATCCAGGGAGAGGTGGGATCATCTGACCTCATAATGGCAAAATAACTGAGTCCTCACTTCCTTGGAGTGTTCTCTGAATACTCCGGTCAGATTGCAAAGTGGTTGGTTTAATGGATTTTTAGTGTTGCTATTGTGGTACCGTCCCTGGACATCCTGATGTTGCTTGGTACTGGCATTTGTGATCAGAGTTCTCTTTTTTAGATAAATGAGGTTTGGATATGGCTCCCTGCTGCCTTAGTTTTTCTTGGCTGAGCCTCTGCCTTAAGCTCTATGTAGCTCCTCACTTATGTACTATATATGCAGTGTTTTCTCAAGGCCATTTCACCTCTGCCTCAACAGATATCATGGTAAAGCTACCAGCTACCAGCTCCCATCTCAGTATCAGTGCTGAAAAGGAAAGTATCTGGAGTGCAACCTCAATCTTTCCAGCCTAACTTCTTAATTATACTGCCAAGAGTTCATGCAGGTTTCTCTCTCCTTAAACTTCCAACTGCAACCTCAGCGAGGAAGCAATTATGAGGCAACAATGCCAGCAATGCTGATTGTTTACCTCAAATAAATAAGAATTATGATAAGGAATGGTATGAATGCACACCTGGGACCAAGTTTCAATTTTTTTCTTTTTCCCAGCAGGCAGGGGCTCTTACTAAAGATAAGTAAATTATACGAATAAATAATATTCCTTCTCTCCATCTGAGTCACTGAGATAGTAAAGATGTGACTTCCAACAAACCTGTAATTGCTGTTTACTTCTCCAAAACTTAAAATTACCCTGCTTATATATACATACATGATAGCTTGTTTTTGGTCTAAGTATCAGACTCAAAAAGGAATTGTTAACGTTAGCTTTTAGCATAGAAACGAACACAGAGATACCCAACATTTTCTATTGGTTAATTCTATTACCACAATTAACAAAACATGATACCAACTTAGACCTGCTACAGAAACACGAAAGATTCTTATAGTACCACAGTAAATTTTATGTTAAATAACATTTAACATGGAAAATTATCCTTTCCTTGGAGTTAACCAGCTGTTTACTCTCACCAATATCAGATTTAAAAAATTCAATGTATTTATTTTCTATAATTCAGTTTGTAGATCTATGCCATTATCATTAGAGATTGCTCATAGTTCCCTTCAGAGTGCTCACAGAAACACTTTACAAGGTAAAGTTTTCAACTTTGTAAAATATGTATTGAAACAAATAGGTTCCAATTATAAATATTTTAATAACATATACAAATTAACTTGTTTAAAAATTTAATTTCTCTTAGAGAAACAATCCTGAGAATAACTTCACACAGTATAATGCATGATCAGGTTAGTCTTATCCTCTAACAGACAACCATAAATTAACAGAATGCAGAAATTTGTCTCAATATGGTGTCTCTATGGAGATGCTTGAAATATCAAGCACCCAATTGCTCAATAAATGCTAATTGGCAAAGATAATAATGATATCTTAACTCATTTCCCAAAAGGCTTTCTTACTCTCTGTTGATTTCTCCATCCATCTGCTTTAGAATATTAAAAGGAGAAAAAGAATTCAGTACTCATAAGAAGTATAAAATTTTCTACAATTTTTGTAGTTTGAGACATTTCTCATTATACATTTTTATTATACACATACACACATACCTTACTACAGTTAATTAGTTTATAATGATTAACTTTGGAAGCCTCTCCCTTCTTTGAATTAAAACAGATATTTCAGAGATTACTTGGATGAAAAAAAATGAGGAAGAGGCCTGATCCATATTTATTGTTACGCTTTTTGTGACTATTCCTTCCATATTTGTGTGGATCTATCACCAGGTTATTTATTCTGTTCCAGTGATCTACGTGTCAAACCCTCTGCCATTTACACAGCCTTATATATTGAAGCTATATAATAAGTCTTGAAACGCATAAATTAATTTTTCCTCCTTTATTCATTTTCTCCCCAATGCTATTTTAGTTATCCTAGGGTTTTTGCCCTGCCATATAAATTGTAGAATAATTTTGTCTAGATTTACAAAAAAAAAAATCTTGCTGAGGGTGTTATAGGAATTGATTACATCTGTATATAAATGTGATGAGAATTGACATCTTTACTATGTAGAGTCTTCCAAGCGATAATCACAATATACTCTTCATTTACTTATATTTTTAAAAACTTATTTCAACAGCATTTTGTAGTGACAAGCAAGCAAATCCTTTACATGATTTAATAGATTCACACTTATATATTCTATTTTTTGAGCCAGAATATATGGCATTGTATTTTTAATTTTGGAGGTCACATTTTCATTGCCAGTACATGGAAATACAGTGTACTTTTGTATGTTTGCGCTGTGTCCTTTAAACTTGTTGTGGTCACCTATTATTTCTATGAGTTTTGTTTAATTTTGTTTTTGTTTAGATTCCTTAGGATTTTCTATATAAACAATCATGTCATCTATAAGTAGGGACATTTTTATTTCTTCCTTTCCAATTTGCATGCATTTATTCCCTTGACTTTTGTTATTATGGTGGCTAGAAAGTCAGTCACTATGACTTATAAAAGTTGTGAAAGCAGATAAGCTTGACTTATTCCTGAACTTAGAGGGAAAATGTTTAACCTTTTGTCATAGAGAACAATGATAGCTGTAGGTTTTTGAAGGTGCTCTTTTTCAAGGTGAGGAAGATCCTCTCTAAGTCTAGTGTTTGAATTAATCGATGTTAGTTGTATAAAATGAACATCCTGAGAATAATTTCTTACTAAAGATAAGTAAATTATACAAATAAATAATATTTCTTCTCTCCATCTGAGTCACTGAGATAGTAAAGATGTGATTTCCAACAAACTTGTAATTGCTGTTCACTTCTCTAAAACTTCAAAATTGCCCTACTTGTATATACATACATGATTGCTTGTTTTTCTTCTAAGTATCAGACTACAAAAGGAATTGTGAACATTAGCTTTCAGCATAGAAATGAACACAGAGATATCCAATATTTTCTGCATTAATTAATATATTATTTTTCCTCTTTAGCTTGTTAATCACATTGATTTTCAAATACTGAAATAGGCTTATATACTTGGAATAAACCTCATTATGTTGTAGCGTATAATTCTTTTTTAATATGACTAAATTCTATTTGTTAATATTTCATTGATAATTTTTGTATCTGCATTCATGAGAGACATTGGTCTACAGTTTTCTTTCTTTTTTTGCATTATGCTGTCTAGTGTTGATATTAGGGTAATACTAGCTTCTTCAAATGAAATAAAAACCATTTCCTACTCTTCTGTTTTCTGGATTATATTATGTAGAATTGGTGTTTATTCTTCTTTAAACAGTTAGTGGTATTCTGCAATGAAACTATCTGGGCCTAGAGATATTTTCTATTTTGAGAGTTTTAAAGTTATAAATTCAATTTCCTTACCAGAAAATTATCTATTATTTCATATTGTGTGAGCTGTGGTGGTTGTTTATGTTTCTTTTGAGGAAGTGTCTTCATTATCTAAATTGTCAAATTTATGGGTGTGGAGTATTCCCTGACTATGTCTTTGATGTCTTCAGAGTCTACAGTAATACTACTTGTTTTATTCTAGTATTGATAACTTACGTTTTAGTGTGTGTGTGTCTGTGTATGTGTGTGTGTTTTCTCATCAAACTAGAGGTTTGTCTATTTCCTTGATATTTTCAAAGAATGAGCTCTGTGTGCCATTGATTCTATTATTTTTATTTTGAATTTTATTTATTTATGCTCTTATTTTTATTATTTCATTCCTTCTACTTGTTTGGTTTTATTTGGTTCTTCTTTTTTATTTTCTTGAAGTGGCAGCTTAGATAATGGAGTTAGGACCGTCTTCCCAAATATGCATTTCTCTCAGCACTCCCATAGCTCTGATTCACAAATTATAATATAGTTTATTATAATTTCATTTTGTTCAATATATCTTTAAATTTTTCCTTGACACATCTTCCTTGACTTATGAGTTATTTAGAAATGTGTTATTTAGTTCTAAGAGTTTGGATACTTTACCATTATGCTTATTTATTTACAGTTTGATCCCACTGTGGGCAAAGAACACACTCTATATTAATTAGTTTAATTCTTTAGAATTTATTAAGATTTATTTTAATGCCCACAATATAGACTATCTTGGTACATATTTTGTGAAGAGTAGAGTAGAATGTGAGTTCTTCTCTGGTTGGGTGAACTGTTCTTTTAATGTTGCTTAGCTCCTCTTGGTTGATGCTATTGTCAAGTTCTTGCAAATTTTGTGTCTAGTTTTTATATTAATTGTTAAAAGAGGGCTATTGAAGTCTCCAACTAAATTGTGACTTTGTCTCCTTTCAGTTTTATCAGTTTTTGTTTCACGCATTTTGCAGCTCTGTGGTTTGGAGTATGTACATTTAGAATGGGTATGTTTTCTTAATGGGTAGTCATTGTCATTATATAATACCCTCTCTGTCTCAGGTAATGTTCTTTACTCTGAGGTTTATTTTATCTCATATTAATATAGCCTCTTCTGCTTCCCTCTGATTAATATTTGCATGATATATATTTTTCTCTCCTTTTAGTTTTATACCTTAATCATTATATTTGAAATGAGTTTCTTATAGACAGCATATAGTTTTGTTTCATTCTTTTTATCCTTTCTACCAAATTATTTTTGTTTGTATATTTAGACCATTTACATGTGATGGAATATTGATATCTTAAGATGTAAGTGTACCATTTTATTTGTTTTCTGTGTATGTATTTGTTGTTGTTTTTGTTTCTGTTTCTTTTTTCTCCCTCCTTTCCTGTGACTTTAACTTTATTTTATAATTTTAGTTTGATTTTTCTACTGTTTTTCACTCTATCTCTTTGCATAGCCTTTTTATTGGTTCTTTACACATTACATTAATATACCTGTTATAGCCTACTGATATCATAATTTTATCATTCAAAGTGAAATATAGAGACCTTACCTTTTTTGGTGTCATTTTACCCTCCTTTATTCACAATATAATTATCTTAAATATTTCCTCTACATACATTTAGATCATCTCACAGTTTTAAAACATTCACTTTAACTGTCAAGCATAGTTTAAGAAAACTCAGGAGAAGAAGTCTATTGTATTTTTCTTTATTTTTAGTGAGCCTGATCTTTCTTCCTTATGTACTAAAGTTCCAAGATTCATTCTTTTGCTATCACCTTATTGTTTAGAAAACTTCTTTTATCATTTTTTAGGGCAATGTATTCTCTTAGTTTTCTTTCTCTAAGGATGTTTTTATTTCTCCTTTATTTTTGAATAATATTTTTGCTAGATATAAGATTGTTGTTAACAGTTCTTTTCTTTTAGCACTTGGAAAATACTGCGACACCTTTTTTGGCCTCCATGGTTTCTGATGAAAAATTTGCTGTTACTCACATTGTTTTATCCTATAAGTAAGGTATTTGTTTCTTACTGGTGCTCTTATGATATTTTTGGACTTTATTTTTCAGAACTTGTAACTGTAATTTGCCTTGGTGTGGTTTTTCGCCTTAGACTTATTTGACTTTTTGACTCAGTGAGTCAAATTTTGGAAGTTGTTAGCATTATTTCTTTAAGTATATTTTCAGTCCCACTCTCTTTCTCCTCTTCTTCTAAAGAGGGCTACTATGTCATTAATTTTAGATATTTTGTTATAGTTTCACAGGTTTGTGAGACTCTGCTCTCTGTTTTCACTCTGTTCTTCAGATTAGGCCATTTCTATAGCTATCTTCAAGTTCACTGATTTGTTTCTCTGTCCTTTTCATTCTGCTGTTGAGCCCATCAATTGAGCATTTTAAATTTGGTTATCATGTTTTTCCATTTTAAATTTTTCCTTTGGTTCTTCTTTACATATTCTACTTATTTGCTGGGGTTTTCTATATTTCAATTTGTTTAGCACATGTTTGTAATTATTCATTAAAATATTATTAAGATATCTCCTTAAAAATATTTGTCAGGTAATTTTTGTCATCTCATTGTTGGCATCTGTTAGTTGTCTTTATTCATTTACTTTGAGATCTTCTTTGCTGTTGACATGATGAGTAATTTTTTTATTATAATTTATTTCTAGGGTACATACGCACAAGGTGAAGGTTTGTTACATATGTATACATGTGCCATGTTGGTGTGCTGCACCCATTAACTCATCATTTACATTAGGTATATCTCCTAATGCTATCCCTCCTCCTTCCCCTCACCCCATGACAGGCCCTGGTGTGTGATGTTCCCCTTCCTGTGTCCAAGTGTTCTCATTGTTCAGTTCCCACCTATGAATGAGAACATGTGGTGTTTGGTTTTTCTCCTTGCAATAGTTTGCTGAGAATGATGGTTTCACATTCATCCATGTCCCTACAAAGGACATGAACTCATCCTTTTTTATGGCTGCATAGTATTCCATGGTGTATATGTGCCACATTTTCTTAATCCAGTCTATCATTGATGGACATTTGTGTTGGTTCCAAGTCTTTGCTATTGTGAACAGTGCCACAATAAACATATGTGTGCATGTGTCTTTATAGCAGCATGATTTATAATCCTTTGGGTATATACCCAGTAATGGGATGGCTGGGTCAAATGGTATTTCTAGTTCTAGATCCTTGAGGAATCGCCACACTGTCTTCCACAATGGTTGAACTAGTTTACAGTCCCACCAACACTGTAAAAGTGTTCCTACTCCTCCACATCCTCTCCAGCACCTGTTATTTCCTGACTTTTTAAAGATCACCATTCTAACAGGTGTGAGATGGTATCTCATTGTGGTTTTGATTTGCATTTCTCTGATGGACAGTGATGGTGAGCATTTTTTCATGTGTCTGTTGGCTGCATAAATGTCTTCTTTTGAGGAGTGTCTGTTCATATCCTTCACCCACTTTTTGATGGGGTTGTTTGTTTTTTTCTTGTAAATTTGTTTGAGTTCTTTGTAGATTCTGGATATTAGCCCTTTGTCAGATGAGTAGATTGCAAAAATTTTTTCCCATACTGTAGGTTGCCTGTTCACGCTGATGGTACTTTCCTTTGCTGCGCAGAAGCTCTTCAGTTTAATTAGATCTCATTTGTCAATTTTGGCCTTTGTTGCCATTGCTTTTGTTGTTTTAGACATGAAGTCCTTGCCCATGCCTATGTCCTGAATGCTATTGCCTAGGTTTTCTTCTAGGGTTTTTATGGTTTTAGGTCTAACATTTAAGTCTGTAATCCATCTTGAATTGATTTTTGTATAAGGTGTAAGGAAGGGATCCAGTTTTAGCTTTCTACATATGGCTAGCCAGTTTTCCCAGCACCATTTATTAAATAGGAAATCCTTTCCCCATTTCTTTTTGTCAGATTTGTCAAAGATCAGATGGTTGTAGATGTGTGGTATTATTTCTGAGGGCTCTGTTCTGTTCCATTGGTCTATATCTCTGTTTTGGTACCAGTACCATGCTGTTTTGGTTACTATAGCCTTATAGTATAGTTTGAAGTCTGGTAGCATGATGCCTCCAGCTTTTTTCTTTTGCTTAGGAATGTCTTGGCAATGCAGGCCCTTTTTTCGTTCCATATGAACTTTAAAGTAGCTTTTTCCAATTCTGTGAAGAAAGTCATTGGTAGCTTGATGGGGATGGCATTGAATCTATAAATTACCTTGAGCAGTATGGCCACTTTCATGATATTGATTCTTCCTATCCATGAGCATGGAATGCTCTTCCATTTGTTTGTGTCATCTTTTATTTCGTTGAGCAGTGGTTTGTAGTTTTCCTTGAAGAGGTCCTTCACATCCCTTGTAAGTTGGATTCCTAGGTATTTTATTTTCTTTGAAGCAATTGTGAATGGGAGTTCACTCATGATTTGGCTCTCTGTTTGTCTGTTATTGGTGTATAAGAATGCTTGTGATTTTTGCACATTGATTTTGTATCCTGAGACTTTGTTGAAGTTGCTTATCAACTTAAGGAGATTTTGGGCTGAGATGATGGGGTTTTCTAAATACACAATCATGTCATCTGCAAACACGGACAATTAGACTTCCTCTTTTGCAAATTGAGTACCCTTTATTTCTCTCTCCTTCTTGATTGCCCTGGCCAGAACTTCCAACACTATGTTGAATAGGAGTGGTGAGAGAGGGCATCCCTGTCTTGTGCCAGTTTTCAAAGGGAATGCTTCCAGTTTTTGCCCATTCAGTATGATATTGGCTGTGGGTTTGTCATAGATAGCTCTTATTATTTTGAGATACGTCCCATCAATACCTAATTTATTGAGAGTTTTTAGCATGAAGCATTGTTAAATTTTGTCAAAGGCCTTTTCTGCATCTATTGAGATAATCATGTGGTTTTTGTCTTTGGTTATGTTTATATGCTGGATTATGTTTATTGATTTTCGTATGTTGAACCAGCCTTGCATCCCAGTGATGAAGCCCACTTGATCGTAGTGGATAAGCGTTTTGATGTGCTGCTAGATTCGGTTTGCCAGTATTTTATTGAGGATTTTTGGGTTGATGTTCATCAGGGATATTCGTCTAAAATTCTCTTTTTTTGTTGTGTCTCTGCCCGGCTTTGGTATCAGGATGATGCTGGCCTCATAAAATGAGTTAGGGAGGATTCCCTCTTTTTCTATTGATTGGAATAGTTTCAGAAGGAATGGTACCAACTCCTCCTTGTACCTCTGGTAGAATTTGGCTGTGAATCCATCTGGTCCTGGACTTTTTTTGGTTGGTAGGCTATTAATTATTGCCTCAATTTCAGAGCCTGTTATTCGTCTATACAGGGATTCAACTTCTTCCTGGTTTAGTCTTGGGAGGGTGTATGTGTCCAGGAATTTATCCATTTCTTCTAGATTTTCTAGTTTATTTGTGTAGAGGTGTTTATAGTATTCTCTGATGGTAGTTTGTATTTCTGTGGGATTGGTGGTGAAATCCCCTTTATCATTTTTTATTGATTCTATTTGATTCTTCTCTCTTTTCTTCTTTATTAGTCTTGCTAGCAGTCTATCAATTTTGTTGATCTTTTCAAAAAACCAGCTCCTGGATTCCTTGATTTTTTGAAGGGTTTTTTGTGTCTCTATCTCCTTCAGTTCTGCTCTGATATTAGTTATTTCTTGCCTTCTGCTAGCTTTTGAATGTGTTTGCTCTTGTTTCTCTAGTTTTTTTAATTGTGATGTTAGGCTGTCAATTTTAAATCTTTCCTACTTTCTCTTGTGGGCATTTAGTGCTATAAATTTCCCTCTACACACTGCTTTGAATATGTCCCAGAGATTCTGGTATGTTGTGTCTTTGTTCTTGTTGGTTTCAAAGAACATCTTTATTTCTGCCTTCATTTCATTATGTACCCAGTAGTCATTCAGGAACAGGTTGTTCAGTTTACATGTAGTTGAGCAGTTTTGAGTGAGTTTCTTAATCCAGAGTTCTAATTTGATTGCACTGTGGTCTGAGAGAGAGTTTGTTATAATTTCTGTTCTTTTACATTTGCTGAGGAGTGCTTTACTTCCAACTATGTGGTCCATTTTGGAATAAGTGTGATGTGTTGCTGATAAGAATGTATATTCTGTTGATTTGGGGTGGAGAGTTCTGTAGATGTCTATTAGGTCTGCTTGGTGCAGAGCTGAGTTCAATTCCTAGATATCCTTGTTAACTTTCTGTCTCGTTGATCTGTCTAATGTTGACAGTGGGGTGTTAAAATCTCCCATTATTATTGGGTGGGAGTCTAAGTCTCTTTGTAGGTCTCTAAGGACTTGCTTTATGAATCTGGGTGCTCCTGTATTGGGTGCATATATGTTTAAGATAGTTAGCTCTTCTTGTTGAATTGATCCCTTTACCATTATGTAATGGCCTTCTTTGTCTCTTTTGATCTTTGTTGGTTTAAAGTCTGTTTTGTCAGAGACTAGGATTGCAACCCCTGCCTTTTTTTGTTTTCCATTTGCTTGGTAGATCTTCCTCCATCCCTTTATTTTGAGCCTATGTGTGTCTCTGCATGTGACATGGGTCTCCTGAATACAGCACACTGATGAGTCTTGACTCTTTATCCAATTTGCCAGTCTGTGTCTTTTAAATTGGAGCATTTAGCCCATTTACATTTAAGGTTAATATAGTTATGTGTGAATTTGATCTTGTCATTATGATGTTAGCTGGTTATTTTCCTCGTTAGTTGATGCAGTTTCTTCCTAGCCTTGATGGTCTTTACAATTTGGCATGTTTTTGCAGTGGCTGGTACCAGTTGTTCCTTTCCATGATTTGTGCTTCCTTCAGGAGCTATTGTAGGGCAGGCCTGGTGGTGACAAAATCTCTCAGCATTTGCTTGTCTGTAAAGGATTTTATTTCTCCTTTACTTATGAAGCCTAGTTTGGCTGGATATGAAATTCTGGGTTGAAAATTCTTTTCTTTAAGAATGTTGAATATTGCCCCCACTCTCTTCTGGCTTGTAGAGTTTCTGCCAAGAGATCAGCTGTTAGTCTGATGGGCTTCCTTTGTGGGTAACCTGACCTTTCTCTCTGGCTGCCCTTAACATTTTTTCCTTCATTTCAATTTTGGTGAATCTGACAATTATGTGTCTTGGAGTTGCTCTTCTCGAGGAGTATCTCTGTGGCATTCTCTGTATTTCCTGATTTTGAATGTTGGCCTGCCTTGCTAGGTTGGGGAAGTTCTCCTGCATAATATCCTGCAGAGTGTTTTCCAGCTTGGTTCCATTCTCCCCGTCACTTTCAGGTACACCAATCAGATGTAGATTGAGTTTTTTCACATAGTCCCATATTTCTCGTAGGCTTTGTTTGTTTCTTTTTGCTCTTTTTTTCTCTAACTTCTCTTCTCACTTCATTTCATTCATTTGATCTTCAATCACTGATTCCCTTTCTTCCAGTTGATCAAATTGGCTACTGAAGTTTGTGCATTTGTCACGTAGTTCTTTTGCCATGTGTTTCAGCTCCATCAGGTCATTTAAGGACTTGTCTACATTGGTTGTTCTAGTTAGCCATTCATCTAATCTTTTTTCAAGGTTTTTAGCTTCTTTGCAATGGGTTCGAACTTCCTCCTTTAGCTTGGAGAAGTTTGATCATCTGAAGCCTTCTTTTCTCAACTTGTCGAAGTCATTCTCCATCCAGCTTTGTTCCATTGCTGGCAAGGAGCTGCATTCTTTTGCAGGGCGAGAGGCGCTCTGATTTTTAGAATTTTCAGCTTTTGTGCTCTGTTTTTTCCCCATCTTTGTGGTTTTATCTACGTTTGGTCTTTGATGATGGTGACATACGGATGGGGTTTTGGTGTGGCTGTTTGTTAGTTTTCCTTCTAACAGTCAGGACCCTCAGCTGTAGGTCTGTTGGAGTTTGCTAGAGGTCCACTCCAGACCCTGTTTGCCTGGGTATGAGCAGCAGAGGCTGCAGAACAGCAAATATTGCTGAACAGCAAATGTTGCTGCCTGATTGTTCTTCTGGAAGCTTCATCTCAGAGGGGTACCTGGCCATGTGAGGTGTCAGTCTGCCCCTACTGGGGGGTGCCTCCCAGTTAGGCTACTCGGGGATCAGGGACCCACTTGAGGGGGCAGTCTGTCCATTCTCAGATCTCAAACTCCATGCTGGGAGAACCACTACTCACTTCAAAGCTGTCAGAGACATTTAAGTCTGCAGAGGTTTCTGCTGCCTTTTTTTCAGCTGTGCCCTGCCCCCAGAGGTGGAGTCTACAGAGGCAGGCAGGCCTCCTTGAGTTGCGATGGGCTCCACCCAGTTCGAGCTTCCTGGCGGCTTTGTTTACCTACTCAAGCTTCAGCAATGGTGGGCGCCCCTCCCCGAGCCTCGCTGCCGCCCTGCAGATCCATCTCAGACTGCTGTGCTAGCAATGAGCAAGGCTCTGTGGGCATGAGACCCTCCAAGCCACGTGCGAGATATAATTTCCTGTTGTGCTGTTTGCTAAGACCATTGGAAAAGCGCAGTATTAGGGTGGGGAGTGACCTGATTTTCCCGGTGCCATCTGTCACCCATTCCCTTGGCTAGGAAGGAGAATTCTCTGACCCCTTGCACTTCCCAGGTGAGGCGATGCCTTGCCCTGCTTTGGCTCACGCTCGGTGGGCTGCACACACTGTCCTGTCCCCACTGTCTGACAAGCTCCAGTGAGATGAAACCAGTACCTCAGTTGGAAACGCAGAAATCACCTGTCTTCTGCCTCGCTCACGCTGGGAGCTGTAGACTGGAGCTGTTCCTATTTGGCCATCTTAGAACCACCCCTTCCAAGATGAATAATTTTTTATTAAAACTTGTATTATGTCATGACACTTTGGGTCTTTTTAAACTTTGGGGTTTCCCTGACAGCACTTTAGCATAGGAAGAGTGGGAAAGCTGCCTTATTTCTGTCTGGTTAGGGTAAAAATCGTGGTTCTCTGCTTGGAGTCTGTTGACACCCAAGGTTGGGTCCTTATTAAGTGAGGGGATCAGTTCCAGCTCCCTTATAAACTTACACTGATACTTCGCTGACTGAAAAAAGTAGGAGTGCCAAATTACTTCTCCTACATTTGACCTCCACCACACATTGGGTGGAGGTCAGTGATGGGTAGTCTTGTAACCATTGGCTAGTGATGACTGAAAATGTCACGGGATCCTTGGAGTGTCGCTTCATCAGCCAGAAACCTCTGTGGCCAGTGGCGCCTTCTGCCTTAGTATTGCATGTGCCCGCTGGGCTCATTTCGCCCACTTGGCCCAGCAGGCTGTGCTCAGCTTGAGTTTCCAGCCTGGATCCCACACCTGCCAAGGGCGACGTGAAAGGTGTTTTGGTGAGCAAGCGCAGGGTCCGGGCACTGCGCACAACCAGCCATGCTGGCTGCTGCAGTGAGGTGGGCAGCTCCATGCAAGGTTGCGGCTGGACCAGATGTAGGGCACAAAACTTCTGCTATGGGCACCTCAGTAGAGTTGTTGAGGGGTTGAGGTGGTTGGAGTGCTTAGTTGCAGCTTGATGAGTGTGGACATCTAGGCTCACTAGTGTAGGTGGGTGTAGGACCTCTGTTTTCTCTGTGTTGTTTATTTGAAGAAAGGTGTTCATTGTGTAAAAGTTTTCTGGTCTGTGAAGCTGCCTCTTTCCCGCTGATTTGATTAGAGAGAGCAGGCTTTTGTTGTTGAATGTATGCATGCATGCGTGCGTGCGTGTAAATGTGCATAAGTGTGTGTGTCCATTGTTTCTAGGTTGCTGTCTTCTGGGATAAATGAAGCAAAAGAAACCCAGGGAACTTCATCATGTCTTTTCCTGGTCACATGGGGGAGCAGTAATGAGGCACTCCTGTTTTTCTCAAGTGGTAGGGTATCAGTGTAAGTCTTGAATTGAGCTGAAACTCTGATCCCCACCGATAATGAGGACCCAACCCTGGGTTCAAGACAGCAAGTAGAGAGCCAGACATTCCACCTGGAGCTGATAGAAATCAGGAAAATTCCTCACCCTTTCCCTGTAGGAGTGGTGTCAAAAAGTTTAGGATCCAGGGTTGGGTTGTGAACCTTACCCGATCTTCCTTCTTCTCCCCACCTTTCTTTCTTTCTTCCTATGTCTCTTTTATATATAATATCCAGGATTTGGGGTTATACTTAGTTAAAGGAATAGGGAAAAGATATCTAATTGATCTTTCTATAATCAGATGCCCCAATATTTTAAAAATTAATTTCTAATAAACTTATAGGAATATGTTTCTAGAAGAGACAAGTAAGTCAAAAGTCAAATATTATACAGCATCTTCTTATTCAACTCATAATGTTACTCCACATGACTGAAAACCTGAATAGGATTTCAATAGCTTTTTCTTAAGACCATGCACAAAACTATTTGAAAACAGAACTGTTAATGTGAACGCTTTAAAAATCATTTCAGTGTTCTTACATATCAGACACCCTATTAAGCTTTATCATATATGGCAATATTAATTCCAACAACATTCTTTCTCTTTGAAACTTCCCCATTATGGCTCTGGTTTAGGGATTATCCATATTGCTCATTATTCAGTTTTCTTTCTGAAATAAAAACTCTGCATTATCATGTGATAAACTATGTGGTAATTTTCACATATCTTCGCTACTTCAAACATATTATCTGTAAATTTTCTTTATCTGTACCTCCCCTACCTTCTTTCATTGAGCCCCAAAGTGTCCATTTACTTACTTTACCAAGAATTCCAGAGCCCAATTCCTAATCTGATGCATATTCAGATTGCGAAAATTGTCCTAGAAGTGGTTATATAGCAAATAACTGCTGTAAAAGGAACATGTATTCATTCATGTATTTATTCAAAAACAGTTTAATAATCTGTTCTGTAACCATTTAATGTGCACTAAAGTTGATTTTGCTACACTTAGAGAAAGTAGATATATTTCTTCAGTCAACAGCTTGCTTTTTCTAAAATAGTCTACTATGGAATAACATTTCTGGCATTTTATGCTTAGATACATGCATTAATAGGTTAATGCCTCAGTAGCTAGTACTTTAGTGCTATTTGCATGCTACTTAGATAATTGTTTCCGTGCCTTGGCTTCAGTGCATATTTCTAACAATGCAGTTATCCAAAAATATTACTATGCTATTTTGCTTGTGTAGCAATTGAAGCAAAAAAAAACTATATAACTCTTTTTTAAAAATTACAAATATCAATATTATAAAATCTTCAAGTGTATTAATTTTACTTTGTAGGCATAGAAGAAGGAATTATGGGTTAACAGCCCTGTCCAAGGACCTAACTACATGACTTATCAGTAGCAACTAGAATAGTTACCTTTTGAGGGCTTTGATGTATCTCTAAGGCGGAAAAAAAAATGGTAACTTTAGGTCAAACATTGAAGTTGTACTTCAGTGAAGACCCTATTGAAAAAAACACTCATTGTGCTCCACTTAAAATCACTCTCACACTCCAACTTAAATCTTGAGTGATCATAAATTGTTCATATAAAAAGTTGCCTTTGTTTGTGCCAGATAAAATTTGGAAAACACAGGTGTATCAATTATTTTAGAGATCTAAAACAATGGATGAGCTATTGAACAGAATTAGCAACTTCAAACCATAAAGCATCTGCCAAAATGTCAGAGGGCAGATGAATGCAAATAAGAAAGGGGAATATTCTTTGGTTCTAAAATAGGGATTGGTAGTCAGTAGAGACAACTTGAGGCTGATGTGTGATAATTTTTATAAAGTAGATATAATGGTCCATGAAGATTTTCATACATGTGTCAAATAGATGTCAAAATGGCAGACAAAGAAAAATAGTCCCAAAAGCTGAAATTAAAGGAAACAAAGTATTTTTAAAAAGCTCTAATTAATATACTCAGAGAAATTCAAGGAGATACTATTCATATAACATATAAACAGCATAAAATGAATAAAAAATATTCAGAGAAAATGAACCACTGAAAAATATTGAAAACTCATGTTGATAATTTTTATGGTAAAATGCAAAAGTAAATAAATTAACTGATTAAAAGATAGATATATCATTGATACACAGATAACCCAGAGAAAATTTTCCTAATTTTTTATTTCTTAAGCATGCTAATGTAGACCCAAAACAATACAAAACAGACTGAATGTATAATTAAGTCATTGTAGACACTAGCATGGTGTTTCTCAAAGTGTAATACGTGAGCCACTTACACGAGAAACAATGGGGATGTTTATATACGAATACAATTTCTCAGATCCACAGAAGTCCTACTAGATCAGAATTTCTGTAAGCATAGCTGGCAGATACATTTTAATAAGCCTTCTTAGGCAATTCTAAGTTTGCTAACATTTGAAAAATACTGTATTCAAATTACTTGAGAGATTTGAAAATGTTTGAATAACTTTCAGGTCTTTTTAACATACATTTATTTATTTATTTATTTATTTATTTATTTATTTATTTATTAGACGAAGTTTCACTCTTGTTGCCCAGCCTGGAGTGCAATGGTGCGATCTTAGCTCACTGCAACCTCTGCCTCCCGGGTTCAAGCAATTCTCCTGCCTCAGCCTCCCGAGTAGCTGGGATTACTGGCATGCACCACCATGCCCGGCTAATTCTTTTTTGTATTTTTAGTAGAGACGGGGTTTCTCCATGTTGGTCAGGCTGGGCTCGAACTCCCAACCTCAGGTGATCCGCCCCCCATGGCCTCCCAAAGTGCTGGGATTACAGGCCACCACCCCCGGCCTTAACATTTATTTTTAAACTTTGTCGAATCAAAGAAGCACTTTCAAAAACTAGGTATCTTGTCACTATAAAGGAAAGCTTGTTTATGCTTCCATATCATCATGTTATACTTAATCTCTGAAAATATTTGTCATATTTGGACTACTTGTTAACATTCTCCATCACCAAATTCCAAAATTCAGAAACTAAATACAGTTAGAATTTAGCTTAGACTATAGTTTATACTGCACTCATTCTATGTTTTTGGAATTAGGAGACTAGAAGTGCACTGTTAAACATAATATCCACTACCCACATGTAACGGTTGAGGTGGCTGAGGCCTTGAAATGTGGCTAGTTAGAACTGGTATAACTTATGTTTAGAAAGAATATAATATCTCACTAATATTTTACAGTAATTACATATGAATTGAGTTGACCATGGCTGGTAAACAATAAAAAACAGTTTAGGATTCTAGTTCTTCTAAGTATTGTTGGTAAAGTTTTCCCTTTCTCTAGAGTACCTTGAAAATGTGTAGTAGAGTTTATTCCAAAAGTTGTAGATTGTAAGTATTTGTTTTCTAATCAGAAAAACATTCTCATTAAGTCCCCTGGGTTTTAAGGAACAGATTGCTATGAGGCACATGCAGAATAATTAGGGAGTGAGGAGCATCTAAATGTATATCTTTGCATTCACCCTTTCTTGTCTCAAAAGTACAAAAGGAGAATCTATTAAAATTTTAATTAATTCCGATTTCTTTTCTTTTTCTTTTTCTTTTTTTTTTTGAGATACACTCTCACTCTGTTGCCCAAGCAGCAGTGCAGTGGTGCAATCAAGGCTAATTGTAGCCTCAACTTCCTGGGCTCAGGTGATTCTCCCACCTCCCTCCAGCTTTTGGAGTAGCTGGGACTACAGGCATGTGCCACAAGGCCTGGTTAAGATTTTTGTTTGTTTGTTTTCTTTTCTGTAGAGATGGGATTTCTCCATGTTGCCCAGGCGTTAATTCCTATTTCTAACCAAGCAAACTGCGACAATGCTCCCTTTCTGATAGTTTTTTGTTTGATTGTTTTCAGAACTAGGTTAAGTGAGGAAACGTTTAGCTAGCATTCTCACATGAAAATATCAGTATTTTAAAAATCACTTCAAGTAAAAGAAGAGAGATATAGTTATGCAGGGGAGAAGATGTGAAAAAATTGATATGTTATCATTTATCATTTATATATTTACTTGTACTTTTAATACAAACATAGATATTGATATGTTTATCTTTTAAGTTCAGGGGTGCATGTGCAGGTTTGTTATATAGGTAAACGTGTTGTGGGGATTTCTTGTACAGATTATTTCATCACTCAGGTATTAAGGCTAGAACCCATTAGTTATTTTTCCTGACCCTCTCTTTCCTCCCACACGCTACCCTCCAGTAGGCCCAGGTGTGTGTTGTTCCCCTCTATGTGTCCGCTGGGTCTCTTCATTTAGCTCCCACTAATAACTGAGAACATGTGGTATTTGGTTTTCCATTCCTATTTGCTAAGAATAATGGCCTCCAGCTGCATCCAAGTCCCTGCAAAGGATAGATCTCATTTTTATGGCTGCACAGTATTCCATGGTGTATATGTACCATATTTTCTTTATCTAGTCCATACTTAATGGATATTCAGGTGAATTCCACGTCATTGCCATTGTGAATAGTGCTGCAATGAACATACAGGTGCATGTGTCTTTATAATAGAATGATTTATATTCCTTTGAGTATATAACCAATAATGAAATCACTGGGTCAAATGATATTTCTGTCTTTAGGTCTTCAAGGAACTTCCACAGTGTCTTCCACAATTGTTGAACTAATTTACACTTTGACCAACAGTATATAAGCATTCCTTTTTCTCCACAACTTGGCTAGTATCTGTTATTTTTTGACTTTTTAGTAATAGCCATTCTGACTGATATGAGATTGTATCTCATTATTGCTGTCATTTGCATTTCTCTAATGATCTGTGATGTTGATATGATTGTTGGCTGCATGCATGTCTTTTGGGAAGTGTCTGTTCATGTACTTTGCCCACTTTTTTATGCAATTGTTTGTTTTTATCTTCTAAATTTATTAATTTCCTGATAGATGCTGGATATTAGACCTTTGTCAGATGCATAGTTTGCAAAATTTTTCTCCCATTCTGTAGGTTGTCTGTTTACTCTGTTGATAGTTTCCTTTGCTGTGCAGAAGCACTTTAGTTTAATTAGATCTCATTTGTCAATTTTTGCTTTTGTTACAATTGCTTTATTTGCGTGAAGTTTGTTCTGAATGCTCAAACCTATTGCCTAGGTTGTCTTCCAGGATATTCAGTTTTAGGTTTTATATTTAAGTCTTAATCTATCTTGAGTTAATTTTTGTATATGGTATAAGGAAGGGGTTCACTTTCAATCATCTGCATATTGCTAGCCAGCTATCCCAGCAACATTTATTGAATAGGGAATCCCTTCTCCATTGCTTTGTAAGGTTTGTAAATATCAGATAGTTGCAGGTGTGAGGTCTTATTTCTGGGTACTCTATACAGTTTCATTTGTCTGTTCTTGTCTGTGTATCATGCTGTTTTGATTACCATAGCCCTGTGGTATAGTTTAAAGTAGGGTAGTGTGATACTTCCAGCTTTCTTCTTTTTGCTTAGGATTCTCTTGGCTATTTGGGATCTTTTATGGTTTCATATAAATTTTAAAATAGTTTTTTCTGGTTCTGTGAAGAATGTCAATGGTAGTTTAATGGGAATAGCATGGAATCTATAAATTACTTTGGGCAGTATGGCCATTTTAACAATATTGATTCCTCCTACCCATGAGCATGGAATGTTTTTCCATTTGTTTGTGCCCTCTGATTTATTTGAGCAGTGGTTTATAGTTCTCCTTATGGAGATCTTTCATCTCCCTAGTTAGCAGTATTCCTAGGTATTTTATTCTTTTTGTGGCAATTGTGGAATGGTAGTTTGTTTGTGATTTGGCTCTCAGCTTGACTGTTGTTGGTGTATAGGAATGCTAGTGATTTGTGCACATCGATTTTGTATCCTGAGATACAAAACTTGGCTGAAGTTGCTCAAGAGCTTAAGAAGCTTTTAGGCTGAGACGATGGGGTTTTCTAGATATAGGATCATGTCATCTGCAAACAGGAATACTTTGACTTCTTCTCTCCCTATTTGAATGTCTTTTATTATTATTTCATTGTTTATTATTGTCTCTCCTGTTTGAATGCCCTGGACAGAACTTCCAATACTATGTTGAATAAGACGGTGAGAGAGGGCATCCTTGTTTTGTGCCGGTTTTCAAAGGGAATGCTTACAGGTTTTGTCCATTCTGTATGATGCTGGCTGTGGGTTTATCATATATGGCTCTTAATATTTTGAGGTATTTTTCTTTAATACATAGCTTATTGAGAGTTTTTAACATAAAGGGATGTTGAATTTTATTGAAAGACTTTTCTGCATCTATTGAAATAATCATGTGGCTTTGTCTTTAGTTCTGATTATGTGATGAATCATGTTTATTAATTTGTGTATGTTGAACCAAACTTGCATCCCAGGGATGAAGCCTACTTGTTCATGGAGAATAAGCTTTTTGATGTGCTGCTGAATTTGTTTTGTGAGTATTTTCTTGAGGATTTTTGCATCGATGTTCATCAACGATATTGGCCAGAAATTTTCATTTTGTATTGTATTTCTGCCAGGATGAAGCTGGCCTCATAGAATGAGTTAGGGGGGAGTCACTCCTTTTTAATTTTGGAGAATAGTTTAAGTAGAAATGGTGCCAGCTCTTCTTTTTACAACTGGTAGAATACAGCTGTGAATTTGTCTGGTGCTGGGCTTTTGTTGGTTGGTAGGTTATTTACTACTGCCTCAATTTCAAAACTTGCTATTGGTCTGTTCAGGGATTCAATTTCTTCCTAGTTCAGTCTTGAGAGGGTATATGTGTCCAGGAATTTATTCATTTATCCTAGATTTTCTATTTTATGTTCATGGAGATTTTTATAATATTCTCTGATGGTTGTTTGTATTTCTGTGGGGTCAGTGGTAATATCCCACTTATCATTTCTGATTGTGTTTATTTGAATCTTCTCTCTTCTTTATTAGTCTAGGTAGTGGTATATATATTTTATTAAATTTTTCAAATGCCAGCTCCTGGATTTGTTTATCTTTTGAATGGTTTTCGTGTTTCTCTCTCCTTCAGTTCAGCTCTGATTTTGGTTACTTCTTGTCTTCTGCCAGCTTTGGGATTTGTTTGCTCTTGCTTCTCTAGTTATTTTAGTTGTAATGTTAGGTTGTGACTTGAGATCTATTTTTTTGATATGGGCACTTAATACTATAAATTTCCCTGTTAACACTGCTTTAGCTGTGTCCTAGAGATTCTGGTATGGCGTATCTTTGTTCTCATTAGTTTCAAATAAATTATTGATTTCTGCCTTACTTTCATTATTTACCCAAATCATTCAGGAGCAGGTTATTCAATATCCATGTAATTGTATGATTTTGAGTAAATTTCTTAACTTTGATTTCCAATTTGATTGTGCTGTGGTCCAAACCACTGTTTTTTATTTGTACTTTAAATGAAAACATAGGTGTATACTTTTATTTTTCCAATTAAATGGGTAGAAAACACAAATATTTTTTCAATTTTAATGACATAATATTGACTACTTTTGTTTTCCCTCCCTTTCAGTTTGTTAATTCCATTTAATTCATTTTATTATTAATATAATATAGTTGCAATTAGCAAATATTTAAATATATATTTTTTCAATTTTTAATCATGTGTGTATAAAAACATGATTTCTGAATGTCTAAAACTCAGATTGTTATTGATAGATATTTACAATGGCATTTGTTGTCATAATATATCAGAATAGAAAAAGCTGGTCTAATGATAAAGTCCCAAATTATTAACAACACTTACCCAATATCTAATTTTGCTCAAAGTCATGTCCATAGTGGACACAGATATATCATGAGGTAACTAACTGAAATTTGAATTTTCTGTTTAGCTATTGTACCATTTTTTAATTTAATGCTACAATAATTTTGCTATATATTCTATCCTCTCTCACACATTCTTCCTCTCTTTCTGTTTTGTCTTTTAAATATGAGCTTCTTTGATTGTGTATACATTTATTTTTAATAAACAAGTGTGATGGACAATTTTCTTTTTCCTTATCTAATCTATACTCTGCAGGATCTTTCACCATGTTTTCTTTTTCCTGATTTACTATTTTTGGAAGAAATGTTATTTTAGTAAAAACAAAAGTGCTAAGAGATAAAACATTAAAATAGTGTTATGACTAGACTAGAGATTGGTGAAAATATGTTTGAAAAAACAGATGATATATGTGGCCCATGTATAATCACAGTATTTTTGGAAATTTGTGTATAAAATGGAGTATTGAATAAAAATATTATAATGCCATAGTTCTCAAAAGCTGGTTGCTAATTTTTTTTTTTTTTTAATGTGGCCTTATTGGCCGGGTATGGTTGCTCATGCCTGTAATCCTAGCACTTTGAGAAGCCAAGGTGGGCAAATCATCTGAGGTCAGGAGTTCGAAACCAGCCTGGCCAACATGGTGAAAACCCATCTCTACTAAAAATACAAAAATTAGTCGGGTGCCATGGTGCTTGCCTATAGTCCCAGCTACTCGGGAGGCTGAGGCAGGAGAATTGCTTGAATGCAGGAGGCAGAGGCTGCAGTGAGCCGACATTGCTCCACTGCACTTTAGCCTGGGTGACAGAGTGAGACTCTGACACAAAAAAAAAAAAAAAATAATGCAGGATTATCATTGTATATTTCCATGAGTACAACTGGGTTCTGTTTTTACGGGAAATGTCTTGGAAGATTTATAATTTTTGTTTTGTTCTGTTTTACTGAGAAAAAACAGTATTCTTCACTCTGGACTTCTTTTTTTTAGTGCATATTTGATACAGTTTACTTTACAGTAAATGCTTACTATTATATGGGGACTAACTAGAAAGTGGATGTCCAATAGTTACTTGACTAAAAGAAATTTGCTTAAAATTGAGGAATTTAAAGAACACCTTAACATTCTGTTACTTAGATCATCAAAACAAACCAATTTGTGTTTTAAAACTAATGGCTAACTTATATTATGTTTTCAGTAAAAAACAAAAAGAAAAACACCCAAACTTGATTTTACTTTTAAATAGAACATAGAAAATCTTGTGATTTATACTTCCAATCTTAACTACTGAAAGAAGCCAGGCTATAGTACTATATTTTTCCCTCATGAGATAGTTGAAGATTCTAATAAACCTAAATTAATTAAAATATAGAGAAAGAAATTCCTAGAAAACAAGGTACACAAAGATGTTTTAATCTCTGACTAAAAGGCGTGAAGGAGGAATTTGAAATAAATACTAGTAAGAAAAACAAGTCAAAACTTTAATAAACCTTAATGTTCAGGTGTGAGCCAGTGTAACAGATGAAAATTACCAAGACCTCCAGTCACAGAAAGAATTTGTACACACCATCAGCCTTTTCCCAAAGAACATCTCAAACTGCGTAGGAATAGTTCACAAAAGGCTGGGGTAAAAAGGTGAACTGAGAGAATATCTACTGAATTACACATTACCCAGTGGAAGATATCAGGGCCAGAGGGCTGAAAGGAATTTATCTCACAAATTCGAGACCTTTACTGTGTGCAAGCCAGTGGTTTCTGGCTGCTGGCTTCTGAAGTCTGGCTGTACGAGAGCTGAGAGAAATCACTGTAAAGCTGTCTATATCTTCAGTGAATATACTGCAGAGATTCTTCAAAGGTTGGAGGTATTACAGCAGGGTAGAGATCCCCTGATGTCTATAATGCCAGGATTGAAATGAACAAACAAATCCATGTCAATCTCCAAAACTGGAAAGCCACGCAAAGCAAAACAAAATATCTCATGAATCAGAAACTGAGCTGCTGGGCTGGAGAGGAAAAAAATGTCTGCAGTCTCCCTGGTACTCAGATATCAAGGCATGCTCAAGTGAAAGTGCAGATCTCACCTGAAAATTATGATCCCAAAAGGAAATAGAGTCTAATTTCAACTTCAGCTCAATTCAGATTAGTGGATGTAGAGCAGTAGAGGTGATTTGTGTTCTGGATATAAATATTATTCATATCAATTTTTAATGTTTACTAATACACATTGTATAGCAAGCAAAGAAGCAAGATAAAGTTACCCATGGTCAAGAGAAGGAGAATTCAATAAAAGCAGACTAAAGGATAGGCAATATGTAGGTATTATCAAAAAGAACTTTAAAAAAACTATGATAAATATGTTAAGGAATTAAAAATGCATAACCAGTGAACAGTATCAGTACAATGATAAAAAATTATAAAAATTGAGCCAACTGAAAATGCTACAAATAAAATGTGAATATTGGAGATGACAAATTCACTTGAGGTTCTTAAAAGTTTTTTGCATACAGCAGAGAACAGACTCATGAACATGAAGAAGGGTCAATAGAAATTGTCAAAAATGAAACAATAAATAGTAAAAAAATGAAACAAAGAATTTGAGGTTCATAGAACAATACCAAACAGTCTGCGATAACATTAAGAAAAGGAAGAGGAGTGGAATGGAAGAAATACTTGGATAGGTAATGACCAAGAGTTTTATAAAATAGATATGGTTGGGCTGTGTCCCCACCCAAAATGTCATCTTGAATTGTAATCCCCATAATGACTGTAATCCCCACATGTCAAGGGAGAGACCAGGTGGAGGTAATTGAATCATGGGGGCAGTTTCCCCCATGCTGTTCTCATGATAGTGAGTGAGTTCTCAGGAGATCTGATGGTTTTATAAGTGTTTGGTAGTTCCTCTTGTGTTCATTCTTCTTCCTGCCACCTTGTGAAGAAGGTACCTTGCTTCACCTTCACGTTCTGCCATGATTGTAAGTTTCCTGAGGCCTCCACCGCCATGTTGAACTGTGAGTCAATTAAACCACTTTCTTTTATAAATTACCCAGTTTGGGGCAGTTCATTATAGCAGTGTGAAAATGGACTAATACAATAACGACATCAACTCAAAGATATAGAAATCTTAGTGTGTCCAAGCTGAATTTAAAAAAAAAAAAAGTCAAAACAAAACAACAACCACCACAGTAAAATACACTTAAGAACATCAAGGGCAAATACTGAAATAGAAAAGTATCTTTAAAACAGCCAAAGAATAAAACATACATTCCATATATTGAGTAAATGCTAAGACTGACAGTTGCTTTCTTATCATAAACAATGAAAGACAGAAGACCATGGAATGTTATTTTTAATGTGTTGGAAGAATAAAACCGTCAGAATTGCTTTGACATCAAAAGTAACTGTCAAAACTGAAGCCCAACTTAGAGCGGACATATATAGGATTAAATGCTTCTATAGTAAAAGTATAAAATCAATGATCTTAGTTTCCACCTTATAACTCTAGATAACAAGGAACAAAACTCAATGTAAGTAAATGGAAAAAATGAATGAATGAAAGTAACAGTGGATATCAATAAAATGTACAACAAACAGAGAAAAGAAGATGATAAATCAGTTCCCTGGATAGATTAATAAAAGTAATTATCTCCTAACAAAAATCTAGTCAAGTATAAAAACCAGAGAAAACAAAAAATGACAGATATCAAGAAGGAAAGAAAAAACATCACTACAAATACTACAGACATTAAGTAAGTGATAAGAAGACAATATGAAAAACTTCATGGCAAATAATTGATGATTTTTATAAAATGGATGGATTGATGAGTAAACATAACTCATCAAAACTGACACAGAAAGGAATATGTAAGAGACAAATTTGATGAATTTAAATACTATTATTACAGAATTATTATTAGTAGTAGAAAATGTACCACTCACAAAGAAAGTTCTAGCCCATATGGCCTAACTGGTAAATTTAATTAAAAATTTAGAGTGACTATATTTAACAACACTATATTGTATATTTTAAAATAGCTAAAGGAAAAGATTTGAAATGTTTTCAACAAGCATGAAGTCCTTGCCCATGCCTATGTCCTGAATGGTATTGCCTAGGAGGTCCAAAAGAGGTTCTAGGGTTTTTATGGTTTTAGGTCTAATGTTTAAGTCTTTAATCCAACTTGAATTAATTTTTGTATAAGGTGTAAGGAAGGGATCCAGTTTCAGCTTTCTACATATGGCTAGCCAGTTTTCCCAGCACCATTTATTAAATAGGGAATTCTTCCATTTCTTCTTTTTGTCAGGTTCGTCAAAGATCAGATAGTTGTAGATATGCGGCATTATTTCTGAGGGCTCTGTTCTGTTCCATTGGTCTACATCCCTGTTTTGGTACCAGTACCATGTTGTTTTGGTTACTGTAGCCTTGTAGTATAGTTTGAAATCAGGTAGTGTGATGCCTCCAGCTTTGTTCTTTTGGCTTAGGATTAACTTGGCAATGTGGGCTCTTTTTTGGTTCCATATTAACTTTAAAGTAGTTTTTTTCCAATTCTGTGAAGAAAGGCATTGGTAGCTTGATGGGGATGGCATTGAATCTATAAATTACCTTGGGCAGTATGGCCATTTTCACGATATTGATTCTTCCTACCCATGAGCATGGAATGTTCTTCCATTTGTTTGTATCCTATTTTATTTCATTGAGCAGTAGTTTGTAGTTCTCCTTGAAGAGGTCCTTCACATCCCTTGTAAGTTGGATTCCTAGGTATTTTATTCTCTCTGAAGCAATTGTGAATGTGAGTTCACTCATGATTTGGCTCTCTGTTTGTCTGTTATTGGTGTATAAGAATGCTTGTGATTTTTGCACATTGATTTTGTATCCTGAGACTTTGTTGAAGTTGCTTATCAGCTTAAGGAGATTTTGGGCTGAGATGATGGGGTTTTCTAGATATACAATCATGTCATCTGCAAACAGGGACAATTTGACTTCCTCTTTTCCTAATTGAACGCCCTTTATTCCCTTCTCCTGCCTGATTGCCCTGGCCAGAACTTCCAACACTATGTTGAATAGGAGTGGTGAGAGAGGGCATCCCTGTCTTGTGCCAGTTTTCAAAGGGAATGCTTCCAGTTTTTGTCCATTCAGTATGATATTGGCTGTGGGTTTGTCATAGATAGCTCTTACTATTTTGAAATACGTCCCATCAATACCTAATTTATTGAGAGTTTTTAGCATAAAGTGTTGTTGAATTTTTTCAAAGGCCTTTTCTGCATCTATTGAGATAATCATGTGGTTTTTGTCTTTGGTTCTGTTTATATGCTGGATTACGTTTATTGATTTTTGTATGTTGAACCAGCCTTGCATCCCAGGGATGAACAAAAGCCAAAACTGACAAATGGGATCTAATTAAACTAAAGAGCTTCTGCACAGCAAAAGAAACCACCATCAGAGTGAACAGGCAACCTACAGAATGGGAGAAAATTTTTGCAACCTACCTGTGTGACAAAGGGCTAATATCCAGAATCTACAATGAACTCAAACAAATTTACAAGAAAAAAACAAACAACCCCATCAAAAAGTGGGCGAAGGATATGAACAGACACTTCTCAAAAGAAGACATTTATGCAGCCAGAAAACACATGAAAAAATGCTCATCATCACTGGCCATCAGAGAAATGCAAATCAAAACCACAATGAGATACCATCTCATACCAGTTAGTTAGAATGGCAATCATTAAAAAGTCAGGAAACAACAGGTGCTGGAGAGGATGTGGAGAAATAGGAACACTTTTACACTGCTGGTGGGACTGTAAACTAGTTCAACCATTGTGGAATTCGGTGTGGCGATTCCTCAAGGATCTAGAACCAGAAATACCATTTGACCCAGCCATCCCATTACTGGGTATATACCCAAAGGATTATAAATCATGCTGCTATAAAGACACATGCACACATATGTTTATTGTGGCACTATTCACAATAGCAAAGACTTGGAACCAACCCAAATGTCCAACAATGATAGACTAAGAAAATGTGGCACATATACACCATGGAATACTATGCAGCCATAAAAAAGGATGAGTTCATGTCCTTTGTAGGGACATGGATGAAGCTGGAAACCATCATTCTCAGCAAACTATCGCAAGGACAAAAAACCAAACACCGCATGTTCTCACTCATAGGTGGGAATTGAACAATGAGAACACATGGACACAGGAAAGGGAACATCACACACCGGGGCCTGTTGTGGGGTGGGGGGAGGGGGGAGGGATAGCGTTAGGAGATATACCTAATGCTAAATGACGAGTTAATGGGTGCCGCACACCAACATGGCACATGTATACATATGTAACAAACCTGCATGTTGTGCACATGTACCCTAAAACTTAAAGTATAATAATAATAAATTAAAAAAGAAAAAGAAATGTTCCCAACAAGCAAATAATAAAAAAAAATTGTTTGAGATGATGGATATCTTACATATCATGATTTGATCATTACATATTGTATTGCATGTGTCAAAATATTGTATACATATGTCAAATATAGCCCATAAATATGTCCAATTATTATGCATCAATAAAACATGTTTAAAATTATGGAACAAATAGAACCAGTTTTATATAAGTGGTTTTATGAGACTGACATAAACCTGCTTTACACTTGATAAAACATTTTAAGAACAAAATTACAGATTAAAACCTCTCATGAACATAAGTGAAATAAATACTTTATAAAATATTAACAAAGCCCTGCCATACATAAACAATATAAGATACTAAAACCAAATTAAATTAAAAGCCAATGTAACATTCAAGAATCAGTCAACATAATTCAGTGTATTAAGTGAGTAATTAACAAAATTATAAGATTAAATAGTTGCAGATAAAAAAAGATTTGACAAAGACTCTAAGTTTCTCAGCAAACTACGAACAGAAAGGAAATCCAACAATCTGATAAAGGGCATCTATGAAAAATCTACAGGTAAACATCACAGTTAATAGTTAAACACTGAATATTTTATGCCTAAAATTGGAAACAAGGCACAGAAAGTCTTTTCCCAAATGTCTACTAATTCATTTGCAATTTTTCAGAAGTATTTACATTTAGGTATTTAATTCCTGGTGACTAAATAGATTCTCTGCTATACACCTGAGTGTGTACAAGAAGACTCATTTTTTCTTCATATCAAAAGTATAGTGAACTTAATTTTCTTACATACATTTTTTCTTGGTTAAATTAACAATTTTATTTTCTCTCTAAGAGAACTTAATATTTGTTCTACATTCTAAAGCATAGGCAAACAATAGCTAGTTTATCACTTATTGAAAAGAAGTTATTAACCTCATTCAGAACAAATAGGAGAATAACAGGAAGTATTGACTAAAGGTCCGCATGTATTCTAAAGCCAAAATTCTCAATGTAGTATGTCATTTTCACTTTTCTAACTTCTAAGTTCTAGAACACATCATGTTACATTTATTTTCCTAAATAAATGTATAAATGCGACTTTTGTTCAATGTCAGATCAACAGAACCCCCAATCAGAGCTTTGTAATTGTTCAGCATAACATTTATACCTAAGATAAATCTGAATAATTAATTACAGGCTATTTCAGCCTGACAGTATTGTATGTAACTAGATGTCCCCCCTGTATGCCTAGGAGAATCATTCAGCATTGTTAAATACAATATTCCTGCTTCCTAAAGTAGAGCACTCTAAAGAGTAGCATATGTTATAAGTAGCTGAATCATAAATCAATGGTATGCCTCAGACCACCTGTATCTTTGACTTTTGATTGAAGGGTTTTATTTGAAACCAATGCTTGTTTCCCTTGTCCACAGTATCTTCATATATGTGGCATAGCTCTCCTAATTATAAATAATTTTAATGGTGTTTTAGTTTTAGCTCTAGATGATGACTGCCTCTTTTTTAAAATAAATTGCATATACTATGCAACTTCCATGTCGTCATTTTCCATTAATTTATCAAACCCATATTATTGGGCACCCAAATTATTCTAGATAGAAATGTTGTGCTGGAAAAGATAAGCATAATTGTTGCTTATCTTGTCATAAATAGTTTATCTAGAACATAAAATATTATTAATAGTAACCAGGTAACCACATTATATATTATGATGAGGTAAAAGGTGGGTTTGGGTGGAAACTCTGGAGTTAACTTTTTTCATGTTGTTTAAAATGTTATTTGCCATCTCAGTTGCAAAGAACAGTTGCTGCATTCAAAACTTGGATATATTGAGTAAGCAGTTGAATATATATGTTTGAAATTCATGGGAGAGTTCAGCACTTAGAGTAAAAAATTGGGAGAAGAAAACACATCAATGGTATTTAATGTATTTTACCCAGAAGAAAATATCAGAGAAAGAATATATAGGGAGAATATTTTCTATAGCCAAGCCTTAGTATACCAATATGCAGAGGTGTAGCAGAGAAAGTGTATCAAGAAAAATAAAATGTAGAAAGATAACCAGTAGGATGGTTCAATTCAGACCATATCAAATAGATTTTGAGAGTACACTAGCAAATTTTGTGTACAATAACAGAAAGATACAAATTTAAAATTATTTATTTACAAAAGTAGCAAATAATGCTACAAGAACTTGAAGCATTTAACATATATTCAAAACCAGAGAATAATTTTATTCCTAGAAAATTACTCACATGGTAATTTTGCATAAATCGGGCTTTCAGTTATTATTTTCGAGGACATTACTTCATCCAATAAAGTTTTTCTTAATAGAATGCTATTGCTTTTGACTTTCTTGTGACTCTACATCTAAGGGTCAACAAAGTTCTCTGGTTGTAACAGTTACACATATTCAAAATCCTTATGCATATTCAAGTGCTCTGGATCTTTTTGCTTACACTAAGAATTTCCAAAATGATAAAGATTGATTTTTCTCTTGTCACCTTCTTTGAATGTCATTTTGTTTAGATTATGTTTACATAAACATTATCAGTTACACAATAAACTTGTAAAGCATGTTAATCACAGGTCAATTTTGACAGATTTTATGACTAAAAATGGACAACTAAATTTTCCTTTCATAATGCTGAGAAATGTGTTATCAGAGAAAAAAACATTTGCTGGAATTTAGTTCTTCATTACGATTTGTAATTGATTTTTAATGTACTCTGCTTTATTTTTTCAGACCTCATCTGCCATTTTTTGCTAAGTTGTATTTTCAAATTCAGGCTGTACAAATAAGATTTTGAAGACAGAAGTTAATATCCTTTCATTGTCTATTATAATGTTAGAGCCTTCATCTCTGTACTTTTTTTTTTTTCCTAAAGACTTTGAATAGTCTTTATATAAGCATACATGCCTCCTTTCCTGAAACCACTTCTATCAGATCTGGTTTTACACTACAATGTTTGATTAAGAGATGCTGTGAATGGAATTGTGTTTCCCCTACCCACTCACTTCCAAATTCGTATGTTGAAGCCCTAACCCGCAATGTGACTGTATTTGGAGATAGGACCTTTACGAGAGGTAATAATGGTTAAATGAGGTCATAGGGTGGGGCAATGATCCTATAGGACTGGTTTCCTTATAAGAAAAGGAAGCAATCCTAGAGAGCCTTCGCTCAGAACTATGTTTTATAACTCAATGGAAAAAAATACTTTTATAAAAAGTCAATGCTATTTTATAATTATTTGCTTTTTAATGCTAGATACTTGCATATTTATTAATTTTTGTTTTATACTTTTCAGATATATCTATGTGGTATCATCATGAATAATGGCTGATTCTGAATGGTTTTTAGTAATTTTGAAGGAAGTATATTTTTGAGGGAGAAAGTTTTGCAATCACTGAGAATATGTAACACAGTATTTATTTTCTCTGAAAATAAATCCAAATGAGAATTTCCAAATATGTTGGGCCAACATCATGTTAAAAAATGATTAAAATCCATGACTTGGAGATTAGCCCATATTGATATTTGAGCAATGCATAGGAGTTGGAGAAAGGAATCTGTAAAGCCCTTTGACTAGAGACCAATGCATTGGGGCAGAAGGAAGACAAAGAGTTATTAACCTGCTGACAAGAGACTGGCTAAGGAGTATTTCCACACCAGTCAGGAATCATCATTATAATAGAGAAAACAAAAAGGTATTACTGTTTGGCTCCATGGGATTCAATTTCACCAGCAGGCCACAATTTGGGGACATCTTTAGGTCAGAAGCATCAAGTGAGCAATCCTTATCTAGGAATATACTTTTAATTACAAAGATTCAACCGCTCACTCACTTGTATATTAAATATGCTTTTGACTTCTTCAAGTCTCCAGACCCTTTGTTGGGTACTAGAGATGTAAATCTCAAAACATAACTAAAACCCATTCTTATACCCATGAAATTTATAGGCTAGGGGAAATGGAAAATAATGATAAGACAGTATGATAGAAGCAAGCAAAGTAATTATGAAGGTACCTAATAGGTAACAACAAAGAGTGAGAGAAGATTCACTTTCAGTTCAGAAACTGGTAGTTAAGTTAAGAAAAAAGAATTGAGTATTATTACATATTGAAGAAACTATGGTATCCAATGAGCTGCAAATATTGCTGGATCATTAGTTACCCTTGGAAGGAGAGTCATGTGAAGCAGCTTCATACACAGGCAGGGGCTAGATTATGAAGGCTATTGTGTGTCAATATGAAAACAATTATGAAAACAACTGGATGATTTTTAAAAGAAAACTGGTAGGACAAAATTTGTGTTTTGAACAAATCACTTATGTAACACCCTGGGAGGAATGAATTGGATAGGAGAGGTGTGTGGGCAGAGCGCTGCATTAGGAAACTATTATAGTAATAAAGTTGTGAATTGAGAAGGGCAGAAATTTACCTAGCAATGGTGAATCAAGATTAAGGGCAGATTGAGAGCTTTTTATATGGTCAAATTAACATGATATTGAGACTAACTAGAGATAGGTTAAAGAGCATGACAGGAAGAAATTAATGGTGAAATAGATATCAAGCTGGCAACTAGGAGAAAAGTGGTGACATTCGTTGAGATGGAGAATGCACAGAGAAACAGATTTGAGTAATGGAGTTTAATATTAATTAAAATTTAGATATGCATATGTTCCACACTTTCTTTGTCCAATTTGCCATTGATGGGCATTTAAGTTTATTTCATGTATTTGCCATTGTGGGTTGTGCTACAATGAACATATGTGTGCACATGTCTTTATGGTAGACCGATTTCTATTCCTTTGGGTATATAATCAGTAATAGGATTTCTGGGTTGAATGATAGTTCTGTTTTTAGCTCTTTGAGGAATCACCACACTGCTTTCCACAATGGTTGAACTAATTTACACTCCCATCAACAGTGTGTATGCATTTCATTTTCTCTGCAACCTTGCCAGCATCTGTTATTTTTTGACTTTTTAATAAAAGCCATTCTGACTGTTCTGAGATGATATCTCATTGTGGATTTGATTTGCATTACTCTATCAGTTATATTGAACTTTTTTCATATGCTTTTTGGCCACATGTAAAGAAAATGTGGTACATATACACCATGGAATACTGTGCAGCCATTAAAAAGAATAAAATGTTCTTTGCAAGAACATGGATGCAGCTGAGGCCATTATTTCTAGCAAACTAATGCAGAAACAGAAAACCAAATACTACAGGTTCTCACTTGTAAGTGGGAGCTAAAGGATAGGAACACATGGGCACAAAGAGGAGAACAATGGACACTAGGGCCTGCTTGAGGGTGGAGGGTAAGAAGATGGCGAAGATCAGAAAAAATATCTGTTGGGCACAAGGCCTAGTACCTGGGTGATGAAATAATCTGTACAACAAACCCCTTGACTTGAGTTTACCTATATAACAAACCTGCACATGTACCCCTGAGCCTAAAATAGAAGATATTTTTTTAAGATTTAGATGTATTTCTCCCTTTTTCCCCTTTTCTTTCTTTCCTTCCTTTCCTTCACTTCCCTTCCCTTCCCTTTCCTTTCCTGTCCCTTTCTCATTTTCTTCTCTTTTCTCATTTTCTTCTCCTTTCTCATTTTCTTTTTCTTTCTTTCCTTCCTTCCTTCCTTCCCTCCCTCCCTCCTTCCTTCCTGTTCTTTCTTTTTCATTGTCTTTCTTTCTAGCTTGAATCACAGACAAATATTAGGTTGGTGCAAAAGTTATTGCGATTTTGGCCATTACTTTTAGTGGCAAAAACCACAATTACTTTATCACCAACTTAATATGTCCATTTCGCCTTGCATAAGTTATCTGGACCCGAAAAAATATCTCTGTTTTGATAATCATTAATACATGTAGTACTGGTGCCATTTTATGGACAGGGGAGTAGGGAAAGTGGTTACCAGCCCCATGGTTCAAAACAGAGGAACATAATATGTAGAAAACAAAGCAAAAATCACTCTTGTGCATATAAACAAGACAAAGCTATAGAAAAGGATGACAAAAGTGTGGATATACTATTATTTGGGGTCTGGAATTATATTTATTTGTACAACAGTTCCCAATATTGTGAAGTAAAAGGTAAACAGTGGAAACACAACTATTATTTATGAAGTAATGGAGTCTGATAGAAGAGTAAACAGTTTTTTCTCTATCTGCCACTTCAGAAACACTCTACCATTTTCGCCCTTCTCTGTGTTTTATGAGGCTAATCTGTTTGATTGAATTATTTGGGATACCTTTCTTCCTGTCTTCTAGTTGGAGTCAGGTAATGCAAAATGCTAGCAGGAGATCATTGTGTTGGACAAAAGGTTGGGGGAATTATGTTCTTCATTTTTTCCACACCTGACCGTGTTTTAATAGTGGCAACAATTTTCTACCTGTTGCCATAATTGATTTGAGGACACCTTCTTTCAAATCAAAAACTCTTCTCAGTTTTCATTTACCATCATCCCTTTCCTACTTGAGCCTATGACTAATAAAGAATTTATGCTGTTGCTAGTGACTGGGTGAATAATCTTTCCTTGTTTGTTCCCTTAATCCTACATACATCTGTGTATATAATCTCTTCATTAGACTTTTTTTTTTTTCACTTTCACTTTGAGTAAGCCATCTTCTGGAACCTAGAACAATAGAGTGGTACTATGAGTGGGTCCAGGAAAGAAAACCCTCAAAATAGGATTTTAAAATTTGGTAGGTCACATAGATTAATAATTCATGGACAGCTTCCTTGCTTAAGAAAAAAATGGAACAGTAATCAGATAGTGGTATCATGATTACTTAAGTTATTAACAATAGTGCCATGAGGTAGAAGAAGGGTAAAATTTGGTAGAAAAAATGGTTATAGCACTTAGACATATGGGATCGATTATGATTACAAATATTGTTGGATTGGAAGCTTTTGTAGCTATAAAAAACATACAGGCAAAGTAAAAATTCAATGCCTTAAATTAATAAATTCAATAAGCAGATTTGAAATTAGAAAGATTAAAAAGCTTCTTTGACAATTTTAAAGTAATTCCCTATTTGACATGGGTAAAGGACAGATGTGTCTCAGGGTTAAGCCTAGAGCTGAGTGCAATGCTTACAGAATTGAAGCAACAAATAAATACACACCTTTGCCAGATAATCTTAAAGAAAGAACAGTGATAGGGAAGAATTGCAACCTGTTACAATAAAAAGAAACTTCTGAATAGACACAGAGAAATTTGATAATATTGAAACTACCATTACCTAGGAGCCTTCTTGAGAGAATAACATCTTTCCATCCTCACCTTCACAGGCATCTGAGGAAAACATCCCCTTAGGCACAGAATGCCTTAAGGGCTTCACATGGGTCATTGTCTCATAAGGGGATACTTTTTCTCCTTGGGATAATAAACTGTTCCTTGTTGCTTCCAAAGGACTCAAAAGAAGAGCTAAATCCCTATATATGCCTGTATGAAAACTTATGTGGGAGAAGATGGGCTATATACCAAGGAGTTGCAGGATTTGCCAGTTTTCACTTGCAAGAATCTGAGGAGAATGCATGGGAATGGAAGGGTGAAAGGCAAAGAAGGACTGAATATAAAATGATTATCAACATGAATGTAGTTCCTCAGCACTCAGAATTTATTATCTTGGATGAGTTGTGTGGTCATAGAAGTTTCTGGAACTCATTGAATGTAAGACGAAAAATAAGTTAAAGCCCAACAATGAGTTTGTAATCATCTTCAAATAAGGCATGCAACCATAGAGCAAATTTAAATCCCTATGCTATTATGTAAGGAACATGTACACAGTTCATTATTCAAATAAACCCCAAAGGATTATCAAGTTTTACAAATGTTATTCTAATGTTTTAATATACATTGACATCAATCAGATACCTAATTGAATGTTCTAATTGAATTAATGTCATGGTGAGTGGTAAGAAAAAAGTGATCTGCTTCTTAAATATCATGACTCCTCAAGCACAAATGTGACAAATTTCCTCTTTAATGATGAATAGAATTTACTGTAAACATTTGTTAACAGCAGGGATAACTCCCTTCTATAGGCTCAAAGTGATGTTTGATTCTTTTAAACTAATAGAACTGGAAAATTCAGGACACAAAAAACCTATGGCATAAAGAGAAATTTATTATTTTCCTCCTCACTATCCACTAAATTTAAACAATTTAAAACAGTTACAGACAAAACATTCAGAACATTCCAGTATGATCATTAGGTTTTTGACCTTTGTTTATAAGATGAACAGTTTTTCATTTTTCTGTATATATACATATACGTATATATACGTATATGTCCTCAAAAAGTGCTATGAAAGTATCAAAAACTCGTCTCCCTTTGGAGTAAAAACATTGTATCTAACTCCATAAAATGTAGGAAGTCCATATATATATATATACACACATATATACATATACGTATATATACATATATGTATATATATGTATATATATACATATATGTATATATGTGATATGTATATATACACATATATGTATATATGTGTATATATATGTATATATGTGTATATATATATATATACGTATATATATATGTGTATATATATATATATATATATATATGGACTTCCTACATTTTATGGAGTTAGATACAATGTTTTTACTCCAAAGGGAGACGAGTTTTTGATACTTTCATAGCACTTTTTGAGGAAGATATAATTAGCATTGATAATAGCCAATAACAACTCCATTTACCTGATTCAAAATGAGTTAAATGGATACATTTTTTTCATGCATTATTAGCAATATTAACAAGCCCACTGGCTCAAATATAGATTTCTCAACTGGAGCTTTGCAATAATAAAATCATCTATTTATTACAATGTGTAACACCTTTCTGGTCAAAGTGAATATTTATTTTGTTTTAAATTTCATTAACACAATAATTAATACTAAAAACCTATTTCCAAATTTTTCCCACAGATAACACTGGTAATAAATTGTGTTACAAGTTAGCTTCCTTTAAAAATATCCTGTATAAAGTATAAATTTTAAAAATCCATCTGAAAGCATCAGTTTTATTAATTGAAACAAAAGAAAAACTGTGCACCAATATATAATTAATTATTTTCTGAACTCCAGAGATTATGCTATACTATAAGTAATAATGGAAGTTCTTAAAGTCACAAATGGAATTAATATAACCTATTGCAAATGAGTAAAGTCTACTTGTGTACACCAGAAATATTTTGAATTATATTATTATTTAGTTGAAAATGTTAAATATTTTCTCCTATGGCATTGGTTACTACAAATTCTCTCCACTTTGCTGAATTTCATGTTTTATTTACATCTTCAGATTTTTTCACAATAATGATTAAGATGACTACTTGTATCATTCAGTTTTCTCTCCTGAGCTTTGTAAACATTATTCCATTTTTAGCAAACTAAAATTGCTGAGTATGATCTTTGACAGGTTAAATGTTTCCTATGTCTTCTTCCTGTATTCTTATAGGATTCTTTCTCTAAACTTGAATTTGAGTCACTTCCCTAGTATGAGTCTTGCTAAAATTATTAATCATTTATTTCTGGAAAAAATGAACCTTTTTATCTTTTATGGGACCTTGAAAAATGAGTTCTTTTTATCTATGAGCTACTCTCTTAAAACAATAGTCTATAGCATCTCTCTCTAGTGTTAAAATCATAAATTAAAGAAAGTAAGTAAGAAGGTAAGAGAGGGTAATTTGTACAAACAACGGAATTAATACTCCATATACCATGAAACAGAAGATTGATGACTCAATAAGAAAAGGCAATAACCACAAGGATAAAATAAAATCTTTAGGAGAGAAATACTTTTGTAAGTTTATAAAGCATTAATAAGCTAAATAATTATCATAGAAAAATCAAGTAAAAAATAAATTTTTGAAAGAAATGACATAAATAATCTACAGAATAAGAAAAACAGAGATGATTGAATCAGAGAGAAGTTCTTTTTAGGAATAATGAACATTAGATGCCCTACATAAATTAGCTGCTAGACCTGAAACAAATAGGAAACAAATAAACAGAAATCTATCTAATCCATATAGAATGATAAATACATATGAGAAAGGACCAACAACATCCTTGTACAGTGTTTTTATGTGGTATCTTTCCACAGCAGCATAGAAAAATAGTAAAAGACACTTCAAAGATGTAGAGTTTCTGATTTCATGGAAACAATGGGGTCCCAGACGGGGTGAGTGTGAGTAGCAGGTATTAAACCTCCAGCACAAGGTGCGAGTGATTGGTCTAATAAGCCACAGAGATGTGGGTAACCAGATTGTGTTCTTTCTTCAGCAGTCTGTAAGGACGGATGACTCATTTCAGGGCCCCAAGGAATCAAACAGATGAGCAGTCTATCAAGGGGCTACATGAATCATGTAGAAAATGGAAGAATTCTAGGTCTTCTTATTAACCAGGAGAGCAAATGTTCCAATTATGTTCTAACTTGGAAGAAAAATGTTGGCCAAGAGACAGTACAAAGATAGCAGGAAACTTTACTGAAAAGAAATATAGTGTAAAGAGGTTATTGCAGAAAAAAAAAAAGTATTCCCCAAGGGAGGAGAGGGCTGATCCTGTGGGAAAACAGCTCCGAGGGTCCTATGCAGGGAGTCTTATTGTGTTAGACATCTTCAAATTCCTGCCTCTGTCTCAAATCTCTACCTTTTTCCTTAGTGTAGTTTTCCCGCTCCTGCCTTAAGTCCTCGCCTGTGCTCCGCCCCCCTTCCCCAGGCTTGTGGGACCCTCTCTCACTGTTGGTTAATGTGCATGCGCTGGCCCATGATTTACTATGAATCCTGTCTGATGGCGGCCCTACTCATTATTGCCACCCTAGGAAGGTTGTATAGCAGTCAAATCTATAGCTATTGCACCTGAGTATCTCTTTGGAATTTCCTTCTTTCCCCTAATCTGTACATATGGCGCCAGGTTTCTCTTAGGAATGTCCCTTTTGCCCTTCTTATCAGCATATAACTAGTGATGTTCTGATACTTTAATCGCAGAGTGAATGATTATTGGGGTGTCTTAAGAGGTGTCTTGGGGCATTTCTTTCCATGTAGCTACCTCTTCTTCCCTACCCACTTTTGACTAAGTGCCCGCCCACTCCAGCAGTAGAGATGCTGTTAATATGCAAATTTAGGGTGGTCCTGGAATGAGCCTTCCCAGACTTTTCCCTTCTCAGGAGCTCCCTCTCCTGTTCATTTCTAGCTATCGGCCTACTCTAAAATTCTGGGCATACAACTGACTTGAATTGCTGTGAAAGGGCTTCAAAATTTCATACCCAATTCTCAGATGCAAGCCAATTAACAGATTCAGAGCTCCTTTTTTGAAAGATCTTGTGTCAGAAAAAAGAAAAGACACACAGTTTGAAAGAAGTAAAAAGATAAATGGGTATCCTTTCAGTGAGATGCAAGGCATTGTTTAGATCTGGAGGGACCTCTCAGAATAATCTCATAATATAAGAATCTGAATCTTTTATAACCTTTGACTATTTTGCAAATTTTGGAGAAAGAAGTAGCTTATAGAGAGTTTATGCTATCATCAGTAGTTATTTCAAAAAATGCAAATGAAAGGTTCCAGTGAAGATGTAATTAGCATTTTTCATTACCCGTGTATGTGTGTATTCCTTGGATTCTCTTTTGAACTGGTTCTCTCTTAATGGAAAAAAGTAAACGCTTGGATACATGTTCAATTTGTTGCCAAGATGCCAGAGGTTTGGTCAAGGTCCTATTGCTCATCATATGGAAAGCCAATCACTGAAACAGTGAGTATAGCCACGGAAGAAAGGCTTTAATCAGATGAGGTCATCCAATAACACTGGAGATAAGTCTCAAATTTGTCTCCCCAACCAACTAAAATTGGGTGTATATATAGCAAAAAGTAATGAAAACAGGAATTAAGGAGGGGTAAGGAGGCAGTCATGATGAGGAGCCTGGTATCTCATTGTCTGGATCTGGTCATCTGGTGAGTTCCACTTCCTTAATACCATCTGTGAGAGCTGAGGGTCAATTTGCGGAGGAAGGAACTCAGATAAAACAAATGTAAGTTTCAATCTTTAAAACCAAAACCAAGAGGGCCAATTACAAAGAGATGCTAAACATCAATTTTATGAGACAATTGGGCTAATTTCAAATTTATATTTTTATGAATGTTATGGTGTTAGTTTTAAAATATTTTAACAGTTTGGGAGTTTACTGAGATGCTGAAAATATTTGCCTGACAGGGAGAGATAAACCACACTGTCAAGGAAGTGTTATTCATAACAACTTAGATGTAGATACAATTTTTTTTTTGATTCCCAGAGAGAATACCATGCAGCAAAAACCTTAACTTTTATAACTCTCTGTTTCCTGAGAAAATGTTTCCACTTCACTGATTATATATGGTGTTTTATTGTGTTTTCTTATTCATTCATGAGTGGTAACTTTTCTCTTTGGTTGCGGCAGTGATTGGGAATTTGGTCTTATGATCTCAACTATTTGGTGATCTCTGTAGATAGATAATAGTAATCTGTTGAGTGAGAGACAATAAAGATCCAGTTTGTTAATCCTTTGCATTTGTTTATCTATTATTCTATTTTAAACTCAAATATTTAAGAATTTTAAGTCTATTGAGAGAAAGGGCCTTTGAAATATGGAGTAGATGCTTGTGTTTCTGTTTTTACTCTTGACCTAATACTCTTGAAATTGTAAAACTGACACTATAAGCTATAGTTTATATGTCTGTGTCTTTAATTCATGGAGCTCTTTACCTTTTGTGTAGATATGAAATCTTTTCTTTTTTCTAGAGAGTATTTGATTTATAAGAAAAATATCATTGATTTTAATATCTCTTAAATATTGATTTTGTTTTGCTTATAAACATAATTAGGCAGTTAATTAAATGGAATATTTTTTAAATTCCCAGGAAATAACTAAATTGGGTTTTGTATACTTTAAATGTGCTAAAGAGAAAAATTCTTCTTTCAGTAATTGTAAGCTCAGAAACACTTTAAGAATCTAAGTTTACAATTGTGAATAGTGCCACAATAAACATATGTGTGCATGTGTCTTTACAGCAGCATGATTTATAATCCTTTGGGTATATACCCAGTAATGGGATGGCTGGGTCAAATGGTATTTCTAGTTCTAAATCCTTGAGGAATCACCACACTGTCTTCCACAATGGTTGAACTAGTTTACAGTCCCACCAACAGTGTAAAAGGGTTCCTATTTCTCCACATCCTCTACAGCACCTTTTGTTTCCTGACGTTTTAATGATCGCCATTCTGACTGGTGTGAGATGGTATCTCATTGTGGTTTTGATTTGAATTTCTCTGATGGCCAGTGATGATGAGCATTTTTAGACTGGATTAAGAAAATGTGGCACATATACATCATGGAATACTATGTAGCCATAAAAAAGGATGAGTTCATGTCCTTTGTAGAGACATGGATGAAGCTGGAAACCATCATTCTGAGCAAACTGTCACAAGGACAGAAAACCAAATACCACATGTTCTCACTCATAGGTGGGAATTGAACAGTAAGAACACTTGGACACAGGAAGGGGAACATCACACACTGGGGCCTGTCGTGGGGTGGGGGGAGGGGGGAGGGATAGCATTAGGAGATATACCTAATGTAAATGACGAGTTAATGGGTGCAGCACACCAACATGGCATATGTATACATATGTAACAAACCTGCATGTTGTGCACATGTACCCTAGAACTTAAAGTATAATAATAATAAAAAATAATAATCTAAGTTTACATAATTAAGGTCAATCTTTGGCAGATGAAACTCTTGTGCGTCAAAGTACTTTGATAGACTGCTAAACACTTATATTGCAGGCAATTCTGAATTATCCAGGGCCCTCTGTGAAATAGAAATTAGCTACTTTTGGTAAATGTTACAATTAATATGAGTAGTTGAGACTATACTAGCAGCAACTGTGGCACAACTAAAACTGTATGTGTGTGGTGTTTTTAAGGTCGAAGAATAATTTTATCCTCAAGAGCTATTTCAATTCTTTGATCTCAGGATATAATTCATCCATTAAGTGAATTCTTGAATACACTGAGGACAAACATTCTTTTAATACTTTGTAATAAAAGAAATAAAAACTGAAAATGTTTAAAATATTTATCCTTAAAAGATAGCTCATGTTCATGGATTGGAAGAAATAACAGTGTTAAAATGTCCATACTATCCAAAGTGATCCACAGATTCAATGCAATGGCTATCAAATTGTCAATGTCATTTTTCACATAAAAAAATGGTATAGTATACAACCTAAAATTGGTATATTACCGCAAAAGACCCAAAAGAGCCAAATCAGTTTTGAGCAAAAAGAACAAAGCTGGAAGCATCTAACCAGAATACATAAGGAAATCAAACAACTAAATAGCAAATAAAACAACACACACATACAAAAACAGCAAATAATACAATTTAAAAATGGGCAAAAGATTTGAATAAACATTTATCAAGAAAAGACACACAAATAGTCAAGAAGTATATGAAAAAATGCTCAACATCACTAATTATTAAAGAAATACAAATCAAAACAACGAGATGTTATCTGACCCCAGTTGAAATGACTATTAAAAAGAAAAAATAAGAGAAGATGGCGAGAATGTGGAGAAAGGAATGCTCGTACACTGTTGATGGGAATGTAAAGTAGTGCAACTGCTATAAAAACAGTATGGAGTTTCATCAAAAACTAAAAATAGAACTACTCTATGATCCAACAATTCCCCTGCTGGGTATATATCCAAAAGAAAGGAAATGAGTATACCAACAAGATATCTATACCCCCATGTTTATTGCAGTACTACTATTCACAACAACCAAGATATGGAATCAACCTAGGTTTCCAATGACAGATGAATGAATAAAGGAAATTTGGTATATGTACAGAATGAAATATTATTCAGCCAGAAAAAAATGAAATTCCATAATTTGCAGCAACATGGGTGAAACTAGAGGTCATTACGTTAAGTGAAGTAAGGCAAGCACAGAAAGTCAAATATTGCATGTTCTCACTCATATGTGGGAGCTAAAATAGTGAATCTCATGAATTCATTACGGATTGAACCATGAAGAAATTCAAAACATGAACAGATGAATAACAAGTAATGAGACTGAAGCCATAATAGAAAGTTTCCCAGTAAAGAAAAACCCTGATAGCCAATGCCTTCACTGCTGAATTCTGCCATACATTTAAAGAACTAATACTAACTCTATTTACACTTTTCCAAAAAAAAAAATAGAGGAGGGAATACCTCCAAATTCATTCTACAAGGCAAGCATGACCCTGATACCAAAATGAGACACATCAAAAAAAGAAAACCACAGGCTGACACTTGGAATGGATATTGATCCAAAAATCATCAACAAAGTAATAGGAAACCGAATTCAACAACACATTAAAAAGTTCATTCATCATGACCAAGTGAAATTTATCCTAGGGATGCAAGGATGGTTCAACATATGGAAATCAATGAATGTGACACATCATATCAACAGAATAAAGGATAAAAACCATACAACCATTTCAATTGATGCTGAAAAAAGCATTTGATAAAATTCAACATACATCATGATAAAAATCCACAAAAAAACTGGATATAGAAGTAACATAACTAAACATAATAAAAGCCATATAAAACAGACCCACAAATAGTATCATACTGAATGAGAAAAAAACTGAAAGCCTTTCCTCAAAGATGTGGAACACAACAAGGATGCCCACTGTCACCACTGTTATTTAACATAAAACTGGTAGTCCTACCTGGAGCAAAAAGACAAGAGAAAGAAATAAAAGGCATCCAAATTGGAAATGAAGAAGTCAAAATATTATTTTTTGCAGGTGATGTGATCTCATGTTTGAAATAAAACCTATAAACTCTATCAAAAAATATTCAGTAGCTTTTTAACTACTGAAAACTCAGTAGTTAAACAAATTCATTAAAGTTGTAAGACAAAAAAACAATGTACAAAAATCAGTAGCATTTCTACATGTTAATAGTGAACAACCTAAAAAAGAAAGAAAAATGTAATCTCATTTACAATACCCAGAAATAAAATTAAATGCCTAGGAATTAACTTAACCAAATACACGAAAGATCTCTATAAGGAAAACTATAAAATACTTACAAAAGAAATTATAGATGACACAAAAAATGGAAAGATAATCCATGTTAATGGACTAGAAGAATCAATATTGTTAAAATATCCATTCTACCCAAAATGATCTACAGGTATAATGCATTTCCTATAAATACTAATGACATTATTTATAGACACAGAAAAAATTCTAAAATTTACCTGGAATGACAAAAGACCCCAAATAGACAAAGCTAGCCTAATCAAAAAGAATGAAACTGGAGGAATCACATTACCTGATTTCAAATTATACTACAGAGCTATAGTAACCAAAATTTCAGGTTATACTACAGAGCCATAGTGCCGTGCTGGCATGGTACTGGCGATATACAGACACATAGACCAATGGAGCAGAATAGAGAACTGAGAAACAAATCTACGCACCCAGAGTGAACTCATTTTTGACAAAGTTGTCAAAATCATACATTGGGGAAGAGAAAGTCTCTTCAAGAAATGGTGCTGGGAATACTGGATATCCATATGCAGAAGAATTAAAATATATCCATGTCTCTTGCCACATACAAAAGTCAAATCAAATTAAAATATATTAAAGACTTAAACTTCAGACCTCAAAGTATGAAACTACTACAAGAAAACATTGGGAAAACTTTTCAGGACATTGGTCTGGGCAAAAATTTCTTGAGTAATATCCCATAAGCACAGGCAACCGAAGCAAAAAATTGACAAATGGGATCACCTCAAGTTAAAAAGCTTCTGCACGGCAAAGGAAATAATAAAAAAAAAAAGTGAAGCGATAACCCACAGAATTGGAGAAAATATTTACAAACTACCCATCTGACAAGGGATTAATAACCAGAATATATAAGGAGCTCAAACAATCCTAAAGGAAAAAAAAAGCCTAATAATCCAATTAAAAGGGAGAAAATATTTGAAAAGACAATTCTCAAAAGAAGATATACAAATGGAAAACAGGTATATAAAAAGGTGCTCAGCATCACTGGTCATCAGAGAAATGTAAAGCAAAACTACAATGAGTTATCCTCTTACCACAATTAAAATAACTTTTATCCAAAATACAGGAAATAACAAATGCTGGAGAGGATGTGAAGAAAAGAGTACCCTTATATACTGTAGGTGGAAATGTAAATTAGCATAACCACTATGGAGAACAGTTGGGAGGTTCCTCAGAAAAACAGAAATAGAGTGACCATATGATCCAGCAATCCCACTGCTGGGCATATACCCCAAATGAAGGAAATTAATATATTGAGGAAATATCTGCACTTCCATGTTTGTTGCAGTGCTTTGCACAATAACCAAGGTTTGGAAGGAACCTAAGTGTCTACCAACAGATGAATGGGCAAAAAAAATATGGTACTTATACACAATGGAGGGCTATTTAGCCATAAAAATGAATGAGATCCCATCATTTGTAACAGCATGGATGAAACTGGAGATTGTTATGTTAAGTGAAATAAGCCAAGCACAGAAGGACAAACACTGCCTGTTCTCTCTTATTTGTGGGATCTAAAAATCAAAACAAATGAATTCATGGAGATAGAGAGTAGAAGTATGGTTACCAGAGGCTGGGAAGGGTAGTGCAAGGTTGGAAAAGAAGGTGGGGGCGGTTAATGAGTACAAAAAATATTAAAAAGAATAAACACAACCTAGTATTTGATAACACAACAGTGTGACTATAGTCAATAATAATTTAATCTTACATTTTTAAATAATGAAAAGAGTATAATTGGATTATTTGTAACACAAAGGATAAATGCTTGAGGGGATGGATACCCCATTTTCCATGATGTGATTTTCTATGATGTGATGGCAAACAGATATATGAAAAAATACTCAGCATTACTAATCATCAGAGAAATGGACATTAACATCACAGCGAGATACACCCTTCACATGTTAGAATGTCTGTTTGGTAAAAGACGAAAGATAGTGTTGGCAAACATATGGAGAAGAGGAAACACTTGTAACTGGTGGGAATGTACATTAGCATAACCATTATGAAACACAGTATGGAAGTTCCTCAAAAATCAAAAAAGTGGAATTACCATATAATAATACAGTCCCACTTCTGGGTATATATTCAAAGAAACTGACATTCGTATGAAGGGATGTCTGTTCTCCCATGTTCAGTGCAGTGTTATTCACAATAGCCAAAATATGGAAGCAAACTTAGTTCCCATCATTTGGGTTACTTGGATAGATGAATATAAAAAGTATATATACACAATGGAAGACTATTTCGCCTTTAAAAATAATGGAATTCTGTTATCTGTGCCAACATGAATAAACCTAGAGGACATTATGCCCCAGAGAGGTGTACACTTGCACCTGTGTTGTCTGTTGCCAGTGGGCCGCTTCTTGGACCCACTGTTATTCCAAAACAAAATAAAAAATATTATAAAGAGTGACATGGGTTTAACAATTTTGCAAATCTCTTTAGCTCCTGTCTTGTTAGAGGATGGCTGGAAATTATTTTTTTTCAACTTTTATTTTATATTCAGAGGGTACATGTGCAAATTTGTTTCAAGGGTATATTGTATGATGCTGAGATTTGGGATACAACAGAACCTGTCACTCAGGTTGTAAGCATAGTACTGAATAGGTAGTTTTCCAACCCTTCCCCTCTCCCTCCATCCCCCTGTCTATTTTTCCCATCTTATTTCCATGTGTTTCCAATATTTAGCTTTCACTTATAAGTGAGAACACGTGGTATTTGTTTTTCTGATTCTATGTTAATTCAGTGAGGACAATGGTCTCCACCTACATCTATGTTGCTGCAAAGAACATGATTTTGCTCTTTCTTATGGCTGTGTAGTATTCCATGATGTACATGTAGCACATTTTCTTTATACACTCCACCACTGATAGGCACTTTGGTTGATTCTACATCTTTGCTATAGTGAATAGTGCTGCAGTGAACATATAAGTACATGTGTTTTTTTTGTAAAACAATTCATATTCCTTTTTGTATTTGCCCAGTAATGAAATTGCTGGGTCAAAAGTTAATTTAACTCTTAATTCTTTGACAAATCTCCAAATTGCTTTCTGCAAATGGCTAAACTAATTAACATTCCCACCAACAATGTAAAAGTGTTCCCTTTTCTCTGCAGCCTCAACATTTGTTTTTTACTTTTTAATAATAACAATTCTAACTGGTGTGAGATGGTATCTCACTGTGGTTTTTATTAGCACTTCTCTGATGATTATGATGATGAGCATTTTTTCCTATGTTTCTTGGCCATTTATATGTCTATTTTTGAGAAGTTCACGTCCTTTGCCCACTTTTTAGTGGGCTATTTGTTTTTTGATTGTTGATTTGTTTAAGTTCCTTAAAGATTCTGGATATTAGACCTTTTTTGAATGCGTAGTTTTTAAATATTTTCTCCCACCCTGTAGGTTAAGTGATACAGGCATGTAATATTAAAGAAGCACGTCATGGAGAATGGGGTATCCATTCCCTCAAGCATTTATGTTTTGAGTTACACACAGTCCAACTACACTCTTAAAGTTTATTTTCGTTTTTGCTACAATTACTTTTGAGGACTCAGACATAAATTCTTTGCCAAGGCCAATGTTGAGACGAGTGTATCTCAGGTTTTTCTTTAGGATTCTTAGAGTTTGGGGTCTTACATTTAAATCAGTAATTCATCTTAAGTTAATTTTTGCATATGCTGATAAGCAGATGTCTAGTTTTCTACTTCTGCATATGGATAGTCAGTTATCCCAGCACAATTTATTGAATAGAGAGTTCTTTCTGCATTTCTTGTTTTCATTGACTTTGTCAAAGATCATGTGGTTTTAGGTGTGTGGCTTTATTTCTGGGTTCTCTGTTCTGTTCCATTGGTCTATGTGTCTCTTTTTGTAACAGTACCATGCTGCTTTGATTACTGTAAACTTATAGTATAGTTTGGAGTTGGGTATGTGATGCCTCTGGATTTGTTCTGTTTACTTAGGATTGCTTTGGCTATTGACACTCTTTCTTGGTTACATATGAATTTTAGAATAGTTTTTTTTTCTATTTCTGTGAAAAATGATGTTGGTAGTTTGATAAGAATAGTGTTGAATCTGTAGATTGCTTTGGGGTATATGGCCATTTTAATGATACTGATTCTTCTAGTCTGAATATGGAACGTTTACCCATTTGTTTTTGTCATCTATTATTTCTTTCAGCAATGTTTTGTAGTTCTCCTTGTAGAGATCTTTCACCCCCTTGATTAGATATATTCTTAAGTATTTTATATTTTTCTGGTTATTGTAAATGGGATTCCATCATTGATTTGGCTCTTAGGTTGAATGTTATTGGTGTACAGAAACACTACTGATTTTTGTACATTGATTTTGTATCCTGAAACTTTTCTGAAGTTGTTAATCCATTTCAAGAGCCTTCTGGTGGAGTCTTTAAGCTTCTTTAGGTATAAAATCATATCATCAGTGAAAATAGATAATTAACTTATTTTCCTATTTAGATTCCTTTTATTTATTTCTCTTAACTGATTGCTCTGGCTAAAATCTTCCAGTGCCATGTTGAATAGGAGTGGTGAGAGTGGGCATCCTTGTCTTGTTTCAGTTCTTAAGGGGAATGTTTCCAGCTTTTTCCAGTTCAGTACAAGTTGGTTGTGTGTTTGTCACAGATGGCTCTGATTATTTTAAGGTACATTCCTTCAATGCCTAGTTTGTTGAGGGTTTTTGTCATGAAGGGATGTTGGATTTATCAAAAGTTTTTCTGCCTCTATTGAGATGATCATATGGTTTTTTTAAATTGTGTTTATGTGGATTTTTATATCTGCTGCTGCACATGGAATCTGATGTAATGTCACACATCATGTAGCCTCTGGAAAAATACACTGTACACTTGTGGGGGAATAAAAATGAAGAAAGCAAGTAACATTTTTGCCTTATTATGAAAATTGTTTTTTCTTCATCGACTCTCTAAAAGGGTCCTTGAGACCTGCAAGGGTCTCTCAACTATGCTTTAAAAATTACTGCTCCAAAATAATGTGTTAGTATGTTTCAGAATATGAGAGAGTATCATCGAAATAAAATTTGGAAAGTAAATTTCACTTTTCTTAATTTATGATACCTAGGTCTGACAAGAAACTATAAATCATGGTAAAATGATGTAAAATTTGCTCAGTTTTGATGGGCTTGCTTCCTTGGTCTCCTGATGAGTGCCCTCATCAATATTATGAAAGATTGAACTTTGCCTCTGTGTAAAGTGATAGCATAGGTTCAGTATCTTCCTGGAATAATTTCCTATGCTTTATGTGAACATTATTGTGTTTCTAATTGAGAAATAGGAAAAAAAAGGTTCACATTCATGAAAAGAGCTAAGATTTGTTACAATCATGTTATCTTCTCTATTTATTTTGAATGGTTTATTATATTATCATTTTGATCAAATATGTAACCAGTCTTTCTCAAGCACTCACAACTCTATTGTAAACAAACACCTACACAGGATTGAACTCTAAATTTGGGAAAAAAATACTCAGGACATGTCATAAGTAAAATAATTATTGAGATTTCCCAAAAGACCAATGAAAAATTTATGAAGATTTGTCTTTCACCTTAAAAGAGAAATGCTAGAAATAATTAGGTTTGTTTGCTGCATTACTACTGTAAGAGCTACATGAAAATTGCCAAATCAGCAGACATGCTCACCTTCCCTAGGTTACATTTATATACATAAGATGCTACTAATATGAATTTTTCAAAAATCATATGGTTTTGGGGAAGTTCTCGAAGACTATTTAATAGATTATTCATATTAACTTTCTATATTCAGAAAAAAACTAATCAAAATGTATATGAAATGGTGACAGGCTATAACTGAATAAAGAATGTTACTTATTTTCATTTTGATATTATTGGTTACAGTACTAAATTAACTAATATTTGGTTTTGACATATTACTATTTTTTATCCTGCTAGATTAAATTTTTTATAATTTTGTAGCATTTTGGGTTTACATTTATTAGAGACATTAACCTGTTATTTTCCTTTTCTATATATTCTTGCACATTTTTAGTAAAGTTTGCTTGTGTAAAAAAAATTGGAAAATATGTTTCCTTTTTTTCTGTGTTCTGGAGCAGTTAGTGTAAAACTGTTTTTATTTCTATTAATATTTAATGTCTGGAATAATTCATTTGTTACTTTCTTGTCCTGACATATTTTATGTTTGTGTTTTTTTGGTGGGTTTTAAAGTGGGAAATACTTTTAATAATAAATTTAATATGTTTAACATGTAATGGAATGTTCAATTTTGCTTCTTTTTTCTCCGTTTTTAGGAAGTTTTGACTTTAAAATCTTGTCCAATTTATCTACATTATCAATTTTATTAGTACAAATTTTAACTAATTTTGTTACATTTTCAACATATGTAAGATATGTCATTATACATTAGAACCCATTTTATACTTGATTTTGTAATTTTTTTCTTTTTTTATTAACAATCTTCCTGTGTATTTACAAATTTATAGTCTTTTCAAATAACCAATTATGCTTTGTCTATTTTCTTTATTGTATATTTGCTTGCTATTCCATTGATTTCTAGTTTTATCTTTATTTCTTTTTTCTAAGTTTATCAATTTATTTCTATTTTGTCTTAGGTTTATGAGATGAACGTTCAGATTTTTTAACCACCAGTCTGCCAAAAAATTTAGAGAAACATTTATTCATAATATTATTTTAAATCTCTATTTATTCATAATAGTTTTGCTTGTATAATTTGTATTAATTTTGACAAATATAACAAAATAACCATATTTTAGATTTTTAATCTTATGTATATGTGTTTTGTGTCATATCTTAGTACTTAATGTTTTTAGGTCATTAATCATATTTCTTCATTCTTTGAGCTTATTCTGGCATTTTTTTTTGCAGAGTAATTATTTCACATAAATGGAGTGGGAAAATTACTCTGTTTTAAGAAGAGGAGGAGCAGCTGAATATTAGCTGAACAACATTCCAATCCATCATTTGGATTTTTCTTTTAGTTTTTTATGAGCTTCTACAATCTACAACTTATCATCTATTTATTTGTATAGTTACTCTTTGATAATTTATTATTGAAATATATTCTATATATTAACTTATTTATTACCTCTCTCCTTTAATGTTTTCCAGGTTTATTTTTTCCCTCATTTTCATTTTAATGTTTTTGTTTTAAGATGCATGTTATATCCTATAAACAGCATAAAGCTGGAATTTTCTTCAATTCATAATCTTTTTTAATTGATAATTCAGCTCATTTAAATTTATTGTGTTTACTTGTATTTTGATACATTTCTAACAAAATATTAGTGGAATCTATTTTATTTTTAAATTTTCTTTTCTCCTTTTAATGCTTATTATAATTAGATTTGTTTCATATTTCTCCCCTCTGCATCTTTTTTGGTTTCATTTATATCTACTAAAGAAAGGGGAAAATCTCCCACTATTATAGTAGATACAGTCTATTTATTCCTTTTTTTTTTTTTTTTTTTTTTTGAGATGGAGTCTCAGTTTGTCGCCCAGGCTAGAGAGCAGTGGTGCGCAGTTTTGTCTCACTGCAACCTCTGCCTCCAGGGTTCGAATGGTTCTCCTGCCTCAGCCTTCCAAGTAGCTAGGATTACAGGCATGCATCACCACGACCGGCTAATTTTTGTATTTTTAGTAGAAATGAGGTTTCACCATGTTGGCTGGGCTGGTCTCGAACTCCCGACATCAGGTGATTTACCCACCTCGCCCTCCCAAAGTGCTGGAATTATAGGCGTGAGCCACCACGCCAGACCTATTTATTCTTTTATTCTTATCTAATTATGTGTGTGGACTTGCTACAATAATAATATATAATAAAAATCCCCAAATTCAGTAATTAAACCACAGGAATGTATGTATCACTTATATCTCTACTGGTTCTCCAGCAGCATTAGCTTATTCCATTGGGGCTCATTTGGAAACTATATTATTCCTTAAGCCCATTCTTTTAGTCACTTCCCTCTAAATGTGGGCAGGCTTGCTAACTAAAACTTTAAAAATAGCCAAAGTCTTTATCTTCATGTTTAAACAATGTGGGGAACTTGGAATGCTTTAAGTCTCATCATCTGGAATGCATATATTTTTAGTATGTTAGTGTTATTATTATTTTTGATTAATGTTAACCTTACACATCGTTATCACCTTATGCAGTCATGTTATTTTTAGATATACCCACATATTTACCAGCGATTTAACTTGCATTAAATTCCCTTGAGAGTATCACTTTTTATTGTTTGAAATTTTCTTCTCATCTCCATAATCAAAAGTTTACTCGTATGTAGAATTAGTCATTTTTGTCTCAGCACATTGAAGGCATTCGTCTTCTCTCTTCTGACCTCTATTGACACTACTGAGAATTCTGATTTCCAATTTCTACTCTTTTTAAATGATCTTTTAAAATAATCTGTCTTTTCTCTTTGGACATATTTATGTTTCTTTCATGGTAGTGGGTTTTCAGTGGTTTCACTATAAGCTGTCCTTGTTTCTTTATTTTTAAAATTTATGTCATGTAGGATTTGCAGAAGTTATGAATTCTTCTTCAATGTTTTCAATCACTTTCAAAAAGTTATTTCATACTTCTCTGAATATCATTCCCTCTTTATTCTCTGAACATCAAATAAGAACTATCTGCTGTTCGTGGTGGTTAAATACTCTTTGTTGAAAATTGCACTACGGGCACTACTGCCAAACTGTAGCCTATACATTCAGCTACATTTCTGTATCATTTTTTCTGTTGTTTTATAGGAAAGTAATTTCATGAATTTCCAAGTCAGAGATAAAACCTGTCCTATTTTAGTGGCAAAAAGTGAGAAGCAGTGTGCATCTTCACAACATGTGACTCACCCTGTTGATTATTTAAAAAAAAATAAAGTCAACTATTTCATAAGTTTTTCTTTTATAATTCACTGATAAGTTCTGTCTTGTCGCTATCCCTTATCTAAGAAAATTCCAGTAGTCATAGTTCATTTTTAGACGTGTTCATTTTCAAATATTAATACTATAAAGGTATTCTGGCTATATCAGTTTTCAATTAATTAGTAAAGACAGCTGAGTCACTGATATGTCTTATCTATCAACTATAAAGTAAGAAATTCCTCTAAGTTACTTCCTGTGCTGGGCTTCATGCCACTGCCCTGGTCCAAGCAGGATGCTATGACTGTAAACAATTAAAACACAGTAAATTGAAGAGCTGTTTGGTTACATCTTTCAAAAGTGTATCAGAATAGACTTTTCAAAAGTGTATCAGAATCAAATGTGTCCCAGAATCAAGAGAAAGTATATAATATTATATGGAGGGCCTTTAAAATTATTTGTAAGTCATATATTCATATGTTTTAAAAGGTAAATGGTATAGAAATTATCCACTGGTACATTTGTCTTGGCCTCTGCTCCCATAAACTTTAATCCCTTTTCAAACAGCAAGTCACTTTTGTTATTTTTGAGTATCCTTCTAGTGTCTTCATGCAAGTGATATACAAATACATAGTCTTAAGTTTCTTTTTCTTACATAAAATATTGCATCCTGTACACACTGTTGTGAAGGTTTTTTGTTGTTGTTTGCTTGCTTGTTTTTTAAATAATCTGGAGATCTTTCCGTATCACTTCATATGGAATTCTCCAATTAAGAATTCAAATCCCTAAGGAAATCTGATGAAATTTTCGTCATGGGAATAGACAGAAAAATACTTCCTAGAAAAGCCTAAAGTAAATTTGTTGAATAGAAAGTCTCAACACAGTATAGGATATATAAAATAGTATATCATATGTGCCATTATACTTTAAATTTTACTTTCTTGGTTCTTTTTAGTATCTTTATTTAAAAAATAAAAAAATTACTCTTTTCTTCTCACTTTGAGTTAGACTATCTGTAACTATAATTTCTGCCACTCTTTAAAAATCTTCCAAATGATCAACAATGCAAAGTTGACATATATATGGTTGAAAGCTTACTTCAAAATACGTTTACAATACTTAAATTCTCACAGGGAAATTACTAAATAGAGACATGCAGAGGAAAAATAAGCAATAACAAATCTCTTTTGGACCTTAAATATGTTGGTTTGTATTCAATATTGAAAAATAAAAAGACTGACTACAGAAAAAAATAGATCCCTAAAATGTCATGTAGTTAATCACAGGTGATTTCAGTTCATTATCTTTCTTAGAGTGTGGTTAAGGCATACATGTTATATTTTTAATATGATATCCTTTACATTTAAAATTCATTTATACTATATTTATCATTAGATTTCTTTACATTGGTTAAGCCCAACTTCTTTCCTTCCTCTATTTTCATAGTATCTATCTTGCTGTCAAGATGACATAAAAATCTCAGAGCAACAAATGCATTTATAAGTAATTCTCTATAGTTAATTACTGTGAAAATAATAGGAAGGTAAAACAGTGTAATGAAAACTCTTACTTTTCTTTGATTATTTTCTTTAAAGTTACCTTTATGTCATTTAAAATATAAACATTTTCATTTATTCAATATGTATTTACTGAACACTTGCATGATTAGACATTTTCCAAGAACAGTACATACAGCAGTGAATAAAATAGAAAAATTCCTTCCCTCATGGAATTTTCATATTGGGATGAAAATATAGGGAAAAAATCAGGAAGGGAAAGCAAGAGAAAATATGTGTGGGGTGCTAAATAAAGTTAGGAAAGGTCTACTGAGGGACTGAGATTTGGGCAGAGAGTTGAAAGAAGCAAGGCAGTATGTCATAGGGAGGTGTGAGGGAAGAAGCTTCAGGCATTGAAAAGATCTGCTGGAAAGGCTCATAACAGAAATATTGCTTGGGTGAGTTGTAAGAATTGAGAGGTTGCTGTGGTAGGAAAAAAATGGATGAGGAGGAGAATGTCAAAAAGTTGAGTTCAGAGTGACCATGTAGGATATCATTAACCATTAGAAGATCTTGTCTCTGAATGAACTGGGAGCTCTGGTGGGTTTGTGAAAATGAATTACATGATCCGCCTGTTTATATATTTATCAAATTAACAGATGAAATTGTATGTATGTATCATGTACAACGTGACGTTTTGAAGTATACCTACATTGTGGAACAGTAAAATCTAGCTAATTAACAAATAGTTACCAATTTTAGGGTGAGAAGACTTAATTAACATCCATTATCTTTGCATTTCTTGAGAATATAGTATTGTCATTAACTATAGTCACCATGCTGTATGATAGATTTATTGAACTTATTCCTCCTGCTTAACTACAATTACATATCCTGTGACCAACATCTCCCCTTCCCCCACCTATCCTAACTACCCCAGCCTCTGGTAACCACCATTCTACTCTGTTTCTATGGCATGAAACCTTTTAGATTCCACATATGGGTGAGGACATAACAGTATTTGTCTTTCTATGCCTGGGCCATTTCACTTAATGTTGTCACAAAAAGGAAAAATGAAATATTGTCAATTGTCTTATGTTTCTAAAGGGCCCTATAGCTGCTAGATGAGGCTAGGAGAGAATCACAGAGATTAGTTGGGAAGAAATTATAGAGGAGATGGAGAACAATGTGAAACTGCATGGTAGTGATGGAGTAGTGAGAAGTAATAGGTGTTGGATATATTTTGAAGAGAGCATTTATAGTATTTACTGATAAATTACATGGGGAGTGTGAAAGAAAGAGCCTGAGCACCTGTAAGAACAATGTTGTCATTTACTACGATGTAAAATATTGTGAAAGAAATAGGTTCTTTTTGAAAAGAGTATTGGGAAATCGTTTCGGGATGTATTAATTTTGTGATGCCTATTCAAGTGTTGAAAGAGGCTGAATATAAAGTCAGGTGGTCAGAGAAACTGCCAGAGTTTGTGATATGAATGTTCAGTTCTTCAGATCAGATTATAAATATTACTTCACACAAGATAGTCTCTTGTTTTTGTTTTTTACTTTCTCTGCTAAAATTGCCAGAGAATGTATTTAAAAATCCCTATCACTTCTATAGTTGATACCTTTATTTTGAGGTTATTGCCTGGCTAAATTTACACATTTTTTTGAGTACTTGAACGAGTGTTCAGGTTAAATTCTATTTTTATAGAAAGAGTGGGATATAAATGGGGAAGAATGGAAAAAAAAGAAGAAAATAGATACAGGAAAATAGATGACAATTATACCTGAAGTTATCACAAATGCCTTTTACTTGAGCTAGCACTCATCTATTCAATGTTTTCTGAGGACAGAAACTCTTCATAAAAAAAAAGTATTGTGAGCTTGTGTTGAGTGAAACAAAAGCTTTTATTCTTCACAGTGATATTCATAGCTATAGTTCTGGTTAAATTGACAATTCCATTCTTTTCTTTTCTAATAAATTACTTTTCTTTTCTAATAAATTACACTTGTTTCTGTAAATGCATGAGAGATCATTATAATTTTTCAACTTTCTGAATGGGTTCCAAATCACAGCTGGAGATAGAAATGGAAAGTATAACAAATGAAAACAGCTGGAAGGTTTGATGGAAGAAAGGGATGAAAATGGGATTAAAATTATTTCATTATGTGTATGTATTTAATAGGAAATATTTAAAATGTAATTTAATAATGTTACTTATCAATTTTCCCAATAAATACTTTATCCAGCATCCCAATATATTTAGAGAATGTATGGTGATCATAATTAAATGAAAGGTATTAAAATCTTTCCCTAGAGTTAACAAGTATCGCCAATGATCTTGTGATATTCTAAATAAGCTATTTGTAACTGTCACACTGAATTGCAAAATCTAAATTTAACATTAAAAGAAAAAAATTAAATTACCAAGACTCCAGTTTTGTTCTCTCATGAAACAAAAGAAAATAAATAATATTCTAGAATTAAACTCTGACCTTTTATGTATACATGCACATAATTATTAGGACTTTTCCTGAAGCTTTATCACGTTCAGAAAAAAATAATTTCAAATGGTATGTATTAATTTGCAAATAATAGCGATATTGAAATTTACAAATGCAGTAACTGTACTGAAATCCTGAAATATGTTAATACTATTTATAATATTAAAACATCTATACAGAAAAAGTTAAACCTGTTCTAAAATGAAAGAATGTACTACATATATTTATGAAAAATATTATGTTTAAGGCTGTTAAAATAAGCAACATGTTACTCATAGGTAAAACTCTTTTTATGAGTATCTAACATGTTAGGGATTTTGAAAATAATAATTATTTAAGATGAATGCAAAAATCACTGACAGAATATAAGAAGAAACATTCATTTTATCATATTATTTTAAATTGTAATTTTGTATTTAATTGGGTGATAATTAATTTCTGTCTTTTTCACTGCTAAACAAGCTGTTAAATGAATAGTGAATTCATGAAAGAACTGCCTGTCTCTCCTGACAGTATATTCTTAAGGAATACAGTCAGTTGAATAGGTGAATTTCACCATAGAAGCTGCAATGTGAACACCATTACACGTTGAGCAAGACATTTTACTAGTTTTCTCTCAGAACAGCTTATTGTCATTATGGCTAATTTTCAACTTAATTTTACCCTTTCTTTGAAATATACTTTTAATTTTAAATGAAAATTAAAGTACAATATTGTTAATTACATCCAAATTATTTTTACTTAAGTGTTTTTAAGATGAACCCTTTATTTTGGAAAACACTATAAAAAAAAGGTACACTGTGACTTAAAATATACTTTTAAGTGGTAAATAATGTACACCACACTAGCTTCAATGCAGTCAAGACTTAAGCAGAAAGGAGGAATAGGCTATCTAGGCTATCTAGAGGGGAGAAAAGAGCTGCTGATATGGCACTGGGATTGACAATGAAAATAAATTTTTTTGGGTTTGTGACCAAAAGTTTTGTAGTTTTATAAGAGTAAATACTTCCCCCTTCCCCAACTCCTTTTTATTTTTTTATTTTTTTATTTTTTGACACAGGGTCTCACTCCACTGCCAAGGCTGTTGTACCACAGTCTTGATCTTCTGGTCTCAAGCAATCCTCCCCACACAGCCTCCTGTGAAAATAAACATTTTTTTTGTTTTAATGTCTCATCTGAGCCCTGTAATAAAAATGATTTGGTAAAGACAGCATCACAATGATTGGATTATTACTAAACATAATTTTTAGTGACAGAAGAGTATTCAGGCTGGGCATGGTGGCTCATTTCTGTAATCCCAACACTTTGGGAGCCCAAGGCAGGAGGATCGTTTGAGGCCCAGTAGTTCAACACCAGCCTGGGCAACATAGGGAGACCCCATCTCCACAATAAATAAATAAATAAATAAATAAAATAAAATAAAATAATAAAAGTTGGCCAAGCATGGTGGCATATGTCTGTGGTCCCAGCTACTTAGGAGGCTGTTTTGGGAGGATTACTTGAGACCAGAAGGTCAAGTCTGTGGTGAGTCCTGATCACCCCATTGCACACCAGCCTTGGCAGCAGAGTGAGACCCTGTGTCCAAAAAAAAAAAAAAAAAAAAAAAAAGGAGTGGGGAAAGGGGGAAGTATTCACTCTTGTAAAACTACAAAACTTTTGGTCACAAACCAAAAAAGATCTTAAAGATTAACTTCAAAAACTATAAAATGATTTTTGAAATTTTTTATGAATATAAAGTACTTAAAATTATACTAAAATTCTCCTGTGACTTTATTTTTGGCCTGTACTAATTAATTGCATTGAATGTTTATTGCCTGATTAATTATGCACATATTTTGTTTGATCATGTTCTAAAGTGTGATTTCATGCCCTGGTTGTTGATTCTATATTAGGATCATGTTTAATTAAAACCTAAAGAAAAAAATACTAGTTCAATAGTTCAAACATTATATTACATCTAACAATTTATGATTACATATAATCAAAGTTGATCACATACAGTAATAAAGTTCTACATCTTCGGGGTGACTTAATTTATATCCTAATAAAATAATAATTTTGAAGTCCACAAATATAATTATTTTCTTTGGTTTCACCTCCCTTCACTTATTATATCCTTATCACTGACATGGTGGTTTTTCTTTGAGCATACTAATTATACCTCCAGCAGCCAGCATGACCCTTGGTAGATCACTATAACAGTTCATGGGCACTTTATAAACAGTGTTTGGCTGCTCATTTTTAATCACAAAAATTGATACATTGTGCTATTTGCCTGCCTGCTTACCTGAATTCAAATAGCGTAGTACAGAACTCAAAGCACAGGCTCTTAAATGCAAATTACCTAGAATATGCAAATTACAATTTGTTCAAAAATGTGGGTATTTGGTTAAGCACAGTAAATCATTTTTCTATCCAAAGCTATTTTGCTTAATTACAAATTTGAAATGCACATAGAAAACAATCCTACTCCCAAATCACTCAGGTCCAACGTACACTTCTTTGGCATCCTCTTAATTAAATCTGCCTTATGAACATTAATTATGAGCTCTATAGAGATAGAACTGATTGAGGAAATTTAAAATATTTGCATATAAGCTGACCATTTAACATGAAAGTTATCTTTACAGAAAAGAAATCCCAACTCCTAAGTAAATGTCACAAGGAAATTATACAAATGTGCTATTACGTGATGCATAGATTTAAAGTGAAAAATGAGCTGACCAGACTATATAATCAAATCTAGGTGACAACTAGCTTCAAGTTGAATTTACTATAAAAATATCTTTAAGCATCCACTAAATGTAATATATTACTAACTTAAGAAAATGCTTTCATTAATTGCTATACAGCCATACCTTATTTTATTCCACTTCACTTTAGTTTGCTTCATAGTGTTTTGTTTTTGTTTGTTTGCTTTTGCAAATTGAAGATTTGTGGAAACCTGCATCCAGCAAGTCTTTCGGTGTCATTTTTTTTAACAGCATGTGTGCACTTGTTATGTCACATTTTGGTAATTCCTGAAATATTTCAAATTTTTCATTATTGTTATATCTGTTAGGGTGACTTGTGATCAGTGATCTTTGATGTTAGCATTGTAGTTGTTTGGGGGCACTGCAAAATATGCCCATATAAAATAATGAACTTAATCAATGTATGTTTGTGTTCTCATGCTCAACCAACTGGTTCTTCCCACGGCTTCTCCCTTTCCTCAGGCTTTCCCATTCCTGAGATACAGCAATATTGAAATTAGGCCAATTAATAAACCTACAATGATCTCTAAAGTGTCAGGTGAATGGAAGAGTTGCATATCTCTCACTTTAAATCAAAAACTACAAAAGCTTAGTAAGGAAAGCATGTTAAAAACTGTGATGAGTCACAAACAAGGCTTCTCATGCCAAATAGCCAAGTTTGAATGCAGGAGAAGTTGTTGAAAGAAATGGAATGTGCCACTCTTTTGAACACATGAGTAATAAGAAAACCAAACAACCTTATTGGTGGTATGGAGAAAGATTTAGTGGTCTGGATAGAAAATACAACCAACCACAAAATTTTTCTAAGCCAACATCTGACCTAAAGAAGGCCCTCACTCTAATTGCCTTCAACTTTATGAAGGCTAAGAGGTGAGAAAGCTGTACAAGAAAAGTTAGAAGCTAGCAGATTTGTTTCATGAGGTTTTAGGAAAGATGCTATCTCCATAACATGAAGCGTAAGGTGAAGAATCACACGCTAATGGAAAAGTTGCAGCAAGTTATCTAGAAGTTCTAGCTAAGATCATTGATGAAGATGGCTACACTAAACAACAGATTTTCAATGTAGACAAAATAGCCTTCTATTGGAAGTAGATGACATCTAGGACTTTCATAGCTGGAGAGAAGTCAATGACTGACTTCAAAGCTTCAAGGGACATGATGACTCTTGTTAGGGGTTAATGTAGCTGGTCACTTTACTTTGAAGCCAATGTTCATTGACCATTCACAAAATCCCAGGATACTGAAGAATTATGATAAATCCACTCTGCCTATACTCTATAAATGGAAAAACAAAGCCTGGATCACAGCACATATGTTGACCGCATGGCTTACTGAATATTTTAAACTCACTGTTGAGACTTAACGCTGAGAAAAAATCATTTATTTCAAGATATTATTGCTCATTGACAACGTACCTGTCAACCGAGAGCTCTGATGGAAATGTACATAGATATTAATATTTTCATTCTGCTAATACAACACCCATTCTGTAGCTCATGGATCAAGGAGTCATTTTGACTTTCATGTCTTATTAGTTAAGAAACACAATTTTAAAGGCAATAGCTGCTATAGATAGTGATTCCTCTGATGGATCTTGGTAAAGCAAATTGAAAATACTCTGGAAAGAATTCACTATTCAAGATGCCATTAAGAACATTCATGATCCATGAGAAAGTGACCAAACCTCAAATATTCGGTCATAACTTATGAGATTCTGAAATATTTAGTTCCACATACATGGAATTTTTACACCACAATTTGTCATTTTTATATCACTTCTTTCTGATATTTGTAGTTTAAAAAATCTTACTTGCATACACTGGTATATTGAGGTAAATGTTCAAATTATAATTTATTTAATAGAGTGAGCACTCTAAAATCCTTCTTTTTGCATGTTGTTTTCAAGTTGGCACAGTTTTGGTGAATTTCTCAGGGAACATGCAATATCAAATAAGAACTAAACTTTTACTTATCAAATTAAAAGTTGGCCACAACTCAACCCCCAAAAATATAAACCTAGGAATTTATCTTTTGCAATATATTATAAAGAAAAACCTTAATATACAAGAAGCTATGTTTCCCTTTTTTCCTAACACAAATGGCCACTGTATTTCTGCTGAAGTGACAGTGACACAGATAAAGCAAAACGGACGTATCAGGTAACAGAAGTACACGTAACAGCAAGTTAACACAGAAAGATACTTAAAAATAGCCCTTTCCCTCCTGAGTTAAATGAACCCTTGGGTCAATGTGTGGGCAGAAAAAGCAGACTTTGTCCTTCAAAAGGCAAATTGAAAAAAAAAAAAAAAAAGAAGAAAAATAAAAGCTCCATCAAGGTGAATTACCGTGAGCTGGCCTGAAGTGTGGAAGGTGTCTCATGGCCAAAAATGGTCTGGTGCAATGACAGCCAGGTATGAGAAGGAAGAGTCGAGGTGTAGGGTTAGAGGTGTATGAGTACAGGTTTGAGGGTTTCCTTTCAACATATACCATAATGCCCCCATCCCCAAACCCAAAACACGTTCTCCATGATCCTTAGCGTGACATCATTCTGCGAGTCCTACTCTGGGGTGTGTGGTGCATGTGAGAGAGACTGTGGCAAAGATGATTGCCTGGCTCTAGCACACTCATGAGAGACCAGCTCTGGGTGGAACAGGTGAGAAGAGGGACACTGAATTATCTGCTCAACTCCTCAAGGCTTAGGGGAAGAGAGTCAAATGTTACCCTCCCTGGGACCTATGAGTTAAGCTACAGGGCCTAGGTATGTTTCTCATCTATTTATTAAAAAGAGCAATGTAGTTTACAAATGATTGTTGATCTATGGATATTTTATTTATTTTATTTTATTTATTTTATTTATGTTATGTTATGTTATGTTATGTTATGTTATGTTATGTTATGTTATGTTATGTTATGTTATGTTGTTATTTTATTTTATTTGAGAGGGAGTCTTGCTCTGTCGCCCAGGCTAAAGGGCAGTGGCTGGATCTCAGCCCACTGCCAGCTCCACCTCCCGGGTTCACGCCATTCTCCTGCCTCAGCCTCCCGAGTAGCTGAGACTACAGGCGTCTGCCACCACTCCCGGTTAATTTTTTTTATTTTTAGTAGAGACGGGGTTTCACCGAGTTAGCCAGGATGGTCTTGATCTCCTGACATGATCCGCCCTCCTTGGCCTCCCAAAGTGCTGGGATTACAGGCGTGAGCCACCATGCCCGGCCGATCTATGGATTTAAAAAAATAAAATTGAAACTGTTGTGGATAGTTAATATATATAAATAATATATATTTTTAAAACGTTTATTTTAATAGTTAAATAAAAGCTACATAAACATGCTTTGAAAAGATTTAGCCAAAGGGTAAAGATAAATAGAAAAATGTTTCCTGCCCTGTCCTCAGTCTCTGTTTTCATTTTCTTCCTCAGCAATAACCACTGTCAACATTTTAAGATGTCTTCTTTCCTTTATATATTTTTAGAAGCATACATTTGCATTTATGCCACCATATATTTACATGCATATGTTTTCATATATATGTGTAGATAGATAGATAGATGGATTTCTACATACATAATTTCATGTATAAAAGCATATATGTTCACGTATATCTATATATTTTAAAATATATGTATTATTCTATGTGGGTTTTATTGCACTTGACATTTTTTCTTTATACTCTCTTAAAAATTTTTATGTGCTAATGCATGTATATCTACCTACTTGTTATTTTCAGATGATTCTAGTAATTTGAGGGGTAAATGAACCATGATGAATTTAATCAATTATTTGTTGATGATGAATTTGGGATTTTTCCAATCATTCAATATTACAAGCAATGCTTCACTGATCATATTTGAACACATGTGATTATTCTGGTAGTATAGATTCCTGGAAATGGAAGCACAAAGTAAAATCCCTGCATGTTTAGATTTTGTTTTTCATAAGAGCTTTACAGTTGAAATACTCATCAATGTACTTAATATTTTACATTTTGAAGAGCAATAAGGAATACTGTATCTGTATTTTAATTTGTACGCCATCATTATGAGTATGTTTAGGAATTATCTTTTATTTTATATCTTTATTTATTTATAAATTATTAATACCCTTTGCTCATATTGATTTTTAGAAGCATTTTTTTGTGGTTCTGACTACTAATATATTTTTGGTTATAAATATTACTATATTTTCTCTCAACCCATTAAGATTAAATAAACAAACTTAATTGTTACTTTTGCCCCAGATTCCCATGTATTAATATCATCAAATCTATGGACGGGTAATAGTCTTGACATAGCTCTCATGCTTTATGGGGATAAATCAAAATTGTACAATATATGAGAGGGATTTGGAATAAAATCCTAGAGATATTGGTGGATTCTATTGACTTTAGAATTGACTTTAGAAGTTCAGGACAAGTAAAGAGCATTTACATTATTCAGATTAAGAAATTATGGTTTCTGTAGAGCCAAATTATCATGACATATTTTTCTAGCACAGATTCATCTGATCTATTGTTTCAAATGTTTAGCCTAATATTTATCCTAAATATCCTCTTCTAATTATATTATTTCTCCTTGTTTCCATTGCCTTTTCTCATTGTCAGTGTTTCTCATTTGCTTTTCTGTAATTTTTTTTTAGAATTTCCAGATATATTTGATCTATTTATCTTTAAAAAATAACCAGGTTTTTTTGCATTTATTATTTCATATATTTACGTATTTTTATTTTATTATTATCTATCCTTTATTTTTATCCATTTATAATCAATTGTTAAAGGAAATTGCTATGCTATGCACTTAATGCCATGATATTTTCTTCTGCAAATTTTGTTATTCATATACATGTTGGTATGTATTATGCTGTGTTTTTGTTATCATTCCTTTTTTAATAGTTTCTGAGTTTAGTTTTGATTTCTTCATTTATTTCATAGTTATTTAGAAGGGTTTTTCAAAACTTTTATGTTTCCATTTGGATTGGTTTGGTTTTTGCTTGTGTTTTTTTTCTACAAAAATGTCACGCTTTTGACAACAAATAGCAGAATAAGTAAATATTTATATTAAAAATACAAATAGAAATTATACACTAGGGAATGCAAAACAACATAAGAAAACTTACCATTCTAAAGCTCAACAAAATTGCTATGATTGAGTTTCAAATGTATCTTGTTTCCTGGCAGCCATGGCAAAAAGGGAAACCGTATCAATTATACACTGAACCACACTAGATAGGAAATAAATCTCTGGATATGGAAAACAAAACTGAAAGTTTTCTTGATATTTAAAATAAAATCCTCACGTGTATCGTATATAGTAGATTCTAATTCATGTAAAAAATATTCTTAGTATTATGCATATAGCAAATGTGGCCTAAATGACCATGTAATTACTATTTTATATATATATATATGTTTTAAGCAATTTAGATTTGTGGTGGCTATATTTCTACTCCCTGAATATTTTTAATTCTTATTCTAGACATGAGTGATGACAGCACTTCTTTGCTCACTGTGGTCATCCAGTCATGTGAATACTTTAGTTAATGGTTGTTAAATGTGAGTGCTCTGTGTTACTTAATTGCCTGTGTGGGTCCTCTAGAGCTTTCTTTTCTTTCCGTCGTGGTGCAATGACCATGCTCAGTATGGTACCCATTTCTTAGCCTGTGTATGAGGGTTAGAATAATGCAGAAAACTGGAGACTCATAATGGGCATAAAGCATGAATAAGAAATAAAATCTGAGTAGTTTAAAGTCTGAGATTGGGAGGTTTTTAAAATTATCTCAGCATAATCTAGCCTGATATAAACTGGATTTCAAAACTGATTTCATTCTAAGTAGTTTCATGTTGCACTAAAATATTAAGTTATACTTTGTAAGATGTATTTTGATCCAAGGATATATATGAGTCATATAAGTTATATAAGCATAAGAATTTCCTCCCAGTATCACTGCACCTTTGACAGAAGCCACATAGGAGCTAGTTCCAACTTGCTCTTTTAAATAGGAGGCAGAAATACAGAATTACTATAAAAAAGGGAGATTCAAATGTCCTGAAACCCAGAATGAGTCTGTCAGACTTGTAGCTACATTAAGCAAATCTAAAAGTTTAGTCTTCTTCTAAGCATGTACAACTTTCCACTCGCGCACAGAAATTAAGGCAAGAAAGGGTAGAACCTTTCTTCAAAAGCAGCTTGGAGTCTCATCTTCCTCCACCAAAACAGTATCAATTACTAGTTGACTCTTGTATATCAAAATGTGCCCTGCAATGTTTACCACCCAATTTGAAAGGGAAAAAAATGTAGATCTATAATTATTTTTCACAAAAATTGGTATGAAGTTTAAGTTATAAAGACTCTGAAATGAGACACAGAGCCCCCCCACATATTTCAACTGTATCACTTTTCAATTGCCATCTGTTGTTATTGTTGTTTCCTTTATTCTCATGCTGTCCTCTGGCTTTACAAAATCCGACTTGCAGTGCCTGTGTAGGTGGGTTGGCCTCCCTCAGCAATTCCCTGATTAGTAACTTTTCAAATGTTCCCTTATTTTCTGTCTTATCATGTAAATTGTAGTTCTGAACTCTTTCCCACATTTGAAAACTCCAAAGGGCTCACTGCAATAAATTCATAACTGAAAAAATAGCATACCTCCCTTCTATGAGGTCCCTTTGAATATAGGTTATGTCCCTTTGAATATAGGAGCATTCCTTAATGACATACAGGAATTACATGGCTTAGAATTTTTGAGAGGTGGCGCTCTCAGTACACTTCAAATCACTCTGTAAAGGTCTCTCCACCTATTGGTTGAAAGTGGTAACTACCTGAATAAAACAATATAAAGTAAATTGACTGATTTCTTCCTACAAGGGCATTTATTTGATACACTATAGTAGTAGTAGAAGTATTGTGTCACCTTAACACGATGCTGAATCTGTCAAACCCTTAAGTACTTGGATTAAAAGTACTTAAGAATAAAAGCAAAGAAAAAATATAATACATAGGAGACAAAAGAATTAGAGATGTGAATTATAAGGAAACTGGAGCCAAAGAGAATTACTGAAGTTTGATTGGGTGGGAAGACCCAGAGAAGAAATCACAGTCTAAGTGTGAAGTTGTCCTAGATAATTGAGAAGCAGAAGTGATTGGAGAAATGGCTATGTTGGGAAAGGGCAAATTCAGACAGGAAGAAAATCAGGAACATTCATTGGTAGAAAGAAATCACCCTAGATAATTCTGCTAGCCATGTTTTCCAACATATTCTTCATAAACAAGTACTATTTCAGAGACTGGGAGTGTCTAACAGTCATAAGTCAAAACCTCTAATGCAACCCACTCAATTGCATGGAGCCATCAAGACAATTAAAGGTAAAGCCAAGGGCAGAACCCAAGTGTCTTATTCTGCCAATTGGCTTATTACTCCTGCCTCAGATAAACACAAACAAAACAAAATAAAAACATGATATAAATGGCAGGATTTATTGGTGATCAAACATCTGTTCAGTAGATTTTTCAATAAGAAACGTATTTCAAATTGGCAACCACTTCTGTTCCTGAATTGCACACTAACATTTTATCATGAAAATTGCATACCTAACATACCTAAATTCAGATGAATCAATCAATGAAACTGTTCTTTTATAACCTGCACAGCTTTCTAGAAAATTTATTGTCACCTTATACGTTCTATTGCTGCAGAGGCATTCTTGGTTAGCATTTTCAGTCTAATGCTATTTTGTTCAAATTCCTGAGGGAATTGGGATTGATAGAGTACATATCTAACTAGATACAATAGCCTAATTTTTAAAAATAAAACATGTTATATTTTATATTAAGTACTTGAGTAGGCATTAGTAATATATACTTTTACACTTAAAGTAATAAAATCTCTTTTAAATTCTGGTTGAAATGCAGTGGCGGCTTCTAAATTGCTCACTGTTTTAAAAAATTATTATACATACGTAAAAGTTTTTGAATAATTGGAACTAATGCACTTTAATCACTAATGCTAACTTCTTTTTTACACATTTTTAATGGAGTTTTAAAAAAAATCTCTTTCACATAACATGATACTGTTTCCTCAAACAAGACAGTATACATATGCTAAATGTTTTCTGGGCCAGGCGCAGTGGCTCATGCCTGTAATTTCAGCACTTTGGGAGGCCAAGGCTGGCGAATCACCTGAGGTCAGGAGTTCAAGACCAGCCTGACCAACATGGTGAAACCCGTCTCTACTAAAAATACAAAAATTAGCCGGGCATGGGGGCGGGCCCCTGTAATCCCAGTTACTCGGAGGCTGAGGCAGGAGAATTGCTTCAACCCTGGAGGCAGAGATTGCAGTGAGCAGAGATGGCACCACTGAACTCCAGCATGGGCGACAGTGAGACTCCATCTCAAAAAAAAAAAAAAAAATCTGAAGAATCAAGCTCATAATCACTTATATTTATAAACCTTTAGAGATGAAAGAGATGAACTGAGGATCCTAGAGAATCACGTTCAGAAAGCACTGGGAAGCCTAGAACTCCAACCTAGGTCAGTGGCTCCTTCCACCCTCTACATTTGCCTGTTTCCTTTCTGCCCTCTAATTGATGAGATTTACAGTTGTGAGGTGAATGGATCTTTTTGTCCACCTATACATACTATATATAGCTTTGAGTTCTTAAGTACATTTCAATTTTTGTGGTTGTCTTTGGTTCATAGTACAATTTCCTACATGTTGTTGCCTTTAAAATATTGTAATCTGAAATCTCCTTTTCATGAAAATAGTAGGTTAGGAAAGACAAAGATAAACAACATTTTATAATTGAGTATATCATAAATGTAAGAAAACAGGACTTGGATTTTCCCTCCACAATACATATTTATATGCTTTCTGATTTGTTTATTATGGGGCAGGTATATTTTCACATTTAAATGTTTAGGTTATATTTAATTTTTCAATTATGATATGGTTATCTTAGTGACTTGTGGGAAGTGAGTTTTGTCATGATGGTTTAAGGTAAATGTCACAGTACATTTTCTATAATTCCCAATGTCTTTTCTAAATTCAAATTCATATTTATTGTAGAAGTTATTAGCAGCTGAAAAATATATATATACACACATATATTCAAATGTAATCATCTAGAATTCATGTTGAAGTGAAAGAAGAAACAGTGGAGTCTGAATATATTTTTATGCATAAGTATAATGTATGCATATGACATAAGCATATAGTGTTAAAGGAGCAGAGACTTAGGGACATACTACACCTACCAAATGTCTAAAATGCTAAGGATAATCTTTAAAAGTAAACTGAAAGAAACACAACAAAAAATTCACTGCTGTTTCTTGATTATATTCCTAATGATTCCAGACTAGGACCAGTTGTGTTGAATTGTATAAAAAGCTAGGGGCATACTTCCATTCGCTGAGTGCTTAATGAGCCCTGGTGTCTGTCTTTATGATCTTGATACAACTGATACCATTCAAACCTGTACCATTTCCCAAAGGCTTTGGAACTAATTGAATCCTCTTTAATGTTCAGTAAAGAAGGAGCACGTATTTTTACCTTCCATGCATTACAGAAGGCTCACACCTCCCGGTGACTCTCTTCCTGTTTTACCCAAGGCTTGCTTTCTAGAGGATCCTGATATGAAGGGAGGAGTAAGGTTTCATCTTTGGAAAGCAAAGGTCATTGGGTTGCTTTATTTCAGGGTTATTTGAAAGTTGAATACCTTCCTGAGGAATTGTTTCTACAGTGATTGCCAATTTTCTGCTTGAGAGGTTTATGATCAAATTGTCTTTGGTAGGAGTTTTTAGTTGGGATTTTTTTTACTGCTGATGTTCGAGAACATTTGCTTGCACACGTTAAAATTTCTTTTTCTACTGTGGTTAACATTTACAATTTCGAGCACCCATCAAAATGAGTTATCCAGAGCATATGGCCTAGAAATTGATAGATATAATTTCAAGGAGGAATAAATGAATACAAGACTTTAACATGGAAGGCGGCAAGGCTGTGGGTAAACCAGAAAATAAAATAAAAACAGAAAATAATCTTTAAAATGAAACTTCAGGATATAAAGATTCTGCTAAAGGATAAATAATGTCTCTTGGAACCTGGTAAACACATAGGGAAAGGTCTAAGGTAAGTTGCAATAAGAACCACAATTAAACCCTTGAATAAACAAAGTCACTTAGATAAATACCTTATTTTCCTCTGGTTTTTACTTTTCGTACATTACCTAAAAGGAAACCAACTTTCTCAAGCCATTCTCATTAACTGTCCCTAGATGTCACCTTAATGAAAATATCCACCAGGGCCTTCGGAGTTTTCAGGGCATAACCATTAAGTGAAATAATGAGTGACATTCTTTACGAGGGCAATGTAATGATACTAATACTACATCCTGCATGAAATTAACACATCTAATGTGGCACACATTGTCCAATACTAACTCTGCAGATTGCAATGCCCCAGTATCAAAATTCTATATAACAACAACATCAAAAGATGTTTACATCTTTTTCGGAAACTGAAATCACTAATTCTCTGCATTATATCAGATATCCCAATTTTCCAGTAGGCAGAAAAATGAATATAGAACCGGTTTTATTTCACCATATCAGTTTCATTTTAACTTTTGGCTCAGTCAGCTTTATGTCAGAAATATCTATTCCTACTCCATTTGACTGTTTACAAAAGGAACATATGTATATTATATTAATAAATAGAAATGTAAATCCATTCCAAAGAGTTCAGTCCAATCAATCTAAAATAAAAATTGCTAAGAATATCAGTGGAAACATTATTTAAATATTATAGTTTATGAATCATTCCCAAAAGTAAGACACATATTAAGATGGTGCTAATTACAACAATGAATTTCAAAATAATGACATTTTTTCAAATAACTCTCAAATATTTATACAAAATTATTGTAATTTGATATTCTGTATTTTTAGGTACTTAGTATCATATAATATTGTATTATGTCCCCAGATAGTAGTATTGTTGAGCCTATACACAAAGGGGAGATGAAAGAAATTTCAAATTTGATGAATCACAATTTTAGAATGTCATGAATTCCCTTTTCTGAATCAAAAGCTCAACCTCTGTCTCTCTGTTGTATTCCTAACCTTGTGTTTAACTTTCAAAATTGTTTTCCACCACATAGTAAGGAAACACATTAAGGTTTGAGTTCTTTAGCTTTTCCATTATAGACAAATACACCCAGTGGAAACAATTAAAACATTGTTAAGAGTTTCCTACAGTTTTCTCAAACCAGTTGAATGAATTTCACAGCACATAATTTATTAGTTTAAATATAACTTCCAGGTAAAGTGTAAGAGAGATATATATATGCAAGAGCATGAACACTTTCAGAGAAAAGGAGGTCATTTAATGAATGATCACCATGTGTATAAAAATAAACTATAACTAGTCTGAAAAAGTTAACAAATTCCTATAAATTATCTACATCCATAGACAGCACTTTTTAAAAGCAAAAACCCACATGGAAAAAAATAGTGAATTTTTAACAATAAAATCTACAGACATTTACATACAATACTAATATTGAAAACCAAAATGTACCTCCTGAAAGAGAATTTCTGGTGGAATTATTATTCTGGTTTCAGTCACTCCAAATCAGTAACAAGCTGGGCATGGTAGTGTGCTCCTGTGGTCCTAGCTATTTGGGAGATTGAGGCAGGAGGATTGCTTGAGCCCAGGAGTTTGAGGCTTCAATGAGTTATGATCAGGCCACTGCACCCCAGCCTGGGTGACAGAATGAGACCTTGACTATAAAAAGAAAAAAGAACGAGGTCTCTAATAAAGGAATTGCATTGTGTCAAAATTGTGCTTCAGAAATGACAAAGTATTTTTACTTTTACGTGGTTTCAATATAATGCAATATTGCAAAGGGTGAGGAAGAGAGAAGAACTTAATACAGGATAACAATTTCTATGATAGAACTACAGTGAATGTTAATAGAATATATACAGGGTTCCCCAAAGGTGAACTTTGAAGACAGAGCAAGTTTAGAGTAAACTTCAGGAAAGAGATGGTGATTGAAATCTCAGAGATAGTTGTCCAAGTGGAAGGAGGAAGCACATGCAACAACTTGAGGAGAGAGAGATCTAGTATACTGGTGGGACTTAGAATAGTTCCTACTAGGTTGGCGCAAAAGCACCTGTGGTTTACTTTCAATGGCAAAAACCACAGTTACTTTTGCACCAACCTAATATGTCTGGCACTGTGGCCAAAAGGAAATTAGAGGTGACTGGAAACGAATGGGGAACCAGATGTTAATTTAGAGAGGAGTATGAGAGTTTCATTAAGTGAGTTATCCTTTTTATTAAAGGCAATGAAAAACAGCTAAAGGATTTTTAATAGGGAATGATTTAATCATATATTGTAGATACATTTACTTTGGCAGCAATGTAAATAATAGGTTGAAGTAAGTAAGTATTTGGGGTACAGGAAGTTATTTTGATAATTTCAGTGAAAACTGAAGATGGCAACTTCTAAAGTTGTGGAAAAAGTGAAAAAGAGTTAGGCAAATAAAGAAGTACAAACAGAGCCAACAGGATTTGATAACTGATTACTTGAATAAAAAGGAGAACTGAATGATGGTTTCCTATTTAATGGTGTTGACAGCAGGCTGGAAGGCTGGACCAAAAACTGGTACAGGGAATAAAGAATTAAAGCAGACTTAGAGTGAAGAAGGAGGTGATTGGTAGATAATCGGCTTATTTTTGTATGTAATGAACTTGAAGTTCATATGGGGATATCCAGTGGGGAACAGGTTATATGGTTTTGGAAAAGCTGACAATTATTATACTGAAGTTTCTCACATTGTAGATGGCTTTCAAAATTTTGGAATACTTTAGGTGAGATTAAATGACAGAAGGATTGAAAATGGAACTCTATAAAATATCAAGATAATTAGCATGTTCAAAGGAAGAGGAGAAAGAGATACAAGATTACTAAAAAATGAGAGAAGAAAAATCAGTATTTTTATGTAAATTAAGGAATTGACAATTTCCAGACAGGTGTGGTCAAGCAGTTTAAAACTATTATAATATAGTCAGGTAAATTAGGGCCTTTAAAATTTCCATGGAATTTAGAAAAATGGCCATGGCAAGAATAGTTTTAAAGAAATTATGCACAAGAAAAACAGAATGCAGTGGGTTGTAGATTAAATGAGTTATTTTTTAAAATCCCAGAATCTGTTTACTGGTTAAGTAGAGAATTCCTTCGTATGGAATAATGGCCTATACAAGACATCTGAGATAAAATTATGAAGAAAACGGACATGGTCTCTATCCCATATATTGTCCGGTAGGGGAGATAAGCCTCAATTACAATGTATTTTGACTTATCCTGTGATTGAGATACTGTGAGGAGGTTTACTTTTTTAATGAAATGTTTAAGGGAAGGTAAAGATTGAGGGAGAAAGTAAATATTGGGCATTATTAAAACTTTTCTCATTTTTTATTTTATTTTTATTTGTTTGGCTGTGATAAGAACACTCAACATGGTATCTAGCCTCTTAGGAAATGTTTAAGTTGTACGCTATAGTACTGTTAACTATAGGCACAATGTGGCACAGCAGATCTCCATAACTTACTCATCCTGAGTCTCTAAAAATTTATGCTTATTGATTAGCAAATCCCTGTTTTCCCCTCCTGCTAGCCCTTGAAAGCCACCATTCCACTCTCTGATTCTATGATTTTTTTAAATTTTAGATACTTCACATAAGTTGAATCATATGGTATTTGTCCCTGTGGTTGGTTAATTTCAGTAAGCATGTCTTCAAAACTCACACATGTAACTGAATACTCCTTTTTCTTTTTAAGGCTGAGTAACATCACATTGCTTGTGCAAATCACATTTTCGTTACCTGTTCATCTATTGATAAACATTTAGATTGTTTCTAGATCTTGGCTATTGTGAATAGTGCCTCAGAAAAACCACAGGAGTCCAAATATGTCTTAGAGATTCTGATTTCAATTATTGTGCATAAATAGACAAAAGTAGGATTGCTGGATCATATGGTTATTCTATTTTTAATTTTTTGAGGAACCTCAATACTGTTTTCCATAGCAGTTGCATCATTTTGTATTCTCATACAACAGTGTAGAAGAGTTACAATTACTCCACATCCTCACTTGTCTTTTCATTTTATAATATTAGCCATCTGAACAATCAACAATGGGATGATAGCTCATTGTGGTTTTAATTTGAATTTCTTTTTTGATTCATGACATTGAGTTTCTTTTCAAGTACCTGTTGGCCATTTGTATGTCTGCTTTGGAGAAATGTCTATTCAAGATTTTAGTCTATTTATAATTGGGTCGTTAGGTTTATTTGACATCAAGTTGTAGGAGTTTCTTATAAATTTTGGACATTAACTCAGACATACGGTTTGCAAATATTTTCTCCCATTCCATCGGTAGCCTTTTAATTGTGTTGATTGTTTCCTTTGCTGTATACAAGTTTTTAGTTCAGGGAAGTCCCACTTCTCTATTTTTTTATTTTGTTGCCTTTGCTTTTGGCATCATATCTATGAAATCATTGCCAAGACTAATGTCATGAAACTTTACCCCTATGTTTTCTTCTAGGAATTTTACAATTTCAGGTATTATATTTAAATTTGTTAATCTGTTTTTTGTATATGATATAAGGGTCCTATTTATTTTTGGATGTGGATATCCAGTTTTCCCGCATCATGTATTGAAGAGACTATCCTTTTCCCATTCTGTATTCATGATACCCTTGCAAAAATCAGTTGACTGTATTTGCATAAATTTGTTTTTAGGCTCTGTATTCTGTTCCACTGGTCTATATGTGTGTCTTTATGCCAGTATCATACTGTTTTAATTACTATAGTTTTATAATCTGTAATATGTTTTTAAATCAAGAAGTGTGAGACCTCTAACAGTTTTGGGCCCTTTTTCAGCGTTTAATGATGCTAGCTGTGTTGCCTTCATATATTGCCTTTATCATCTTGAAGCAATTTGCTTTCATTTATAGTTTATGGGAAGTTTTTCTTCTAATAAAAAGATGCTTAACTTTGTCACACTGCTTTTCCTCATCTATCGAGATAAATTTGTAATTTTTATCCTTTATTATGTGAATGTGGTATATCACATTAATTGATTTTCATATGTTCAACCATTCTTGCATTCCAAGAATTCTCACCAGATCATAGTGAATGATCCTTTTAATGTGCTGCTGATTTGGTCTGGTGGTATCTTATTAAGGACATTTGCAATTATATTCACCAGGAACATTGGCTTTTAATTTTATTTTGTTGTAGTATCTTTGTCTGGCTTTGGCATTAGGATAATGCCCATCTCATAAATGAGTTCTGAAATTTTTTTCTCCTCTTAAATTTTTTGGAAGAGTTTAGAAAGCATTGTTGTTAATTCTTCTTTAAAACTTTGGTAGAATTCATGAGAGAAGCCAAATGTTCCTGGGCTTTTTTTTTTTTTGTTAAAAGGTTTTTAATTACTCATTCAATCTTCTTACTCAGCATAGATCTGTTTAGATTTTTTTTTATTTCTTTATGATTTTGTTGGTAGTTTGTATGCTTCTAGAATTTATTATTCTTTCTAATTTATCCAATTTGTTGGCACATAATTGCTCATAGCAGTCTCATGATTGTTTTTACTTCTGTGGTATCATTTGTAATGTCTCCTCTTTCAGTTCTGATTTTATGTATTTGAGTATTTTTTTTTCTTAGTCTAGCTTATGGTTTGTCAATTTTCTTTACCTTTTCAAAAAACTACCTCTTAGTTTTATTGCTTTTTTCAACTGTTTCTCTATTTCCTATTTTATTTATTTCTCTTCTAATCTTCCTTGCTTCATTCCTTTTGCTAATTTGGGCTTAATTTGTTATTCTTTTTTCTAGTTTCTGAAGGTATTAGGTTGTTTATTTGAGACCTTCCTTTTTTACTGTAGGAATTTATCACTATTAACTTACCCCTTAGTACTGCTTTTGCTGTATCTGATAAGTATTGGTATGTTGTTTCATTATTTTTTGAGCCTCAAGATAATATCTAATTTCTCTTTAAGTTCTTTTTTGATCACTGGTTGTTCAAAAGTGTGTTATTTAACTGCAACATACTTGTAAATCATTAAATTTTTCTTCTGCTATTTATTTAAAGTTTCGTTCAATGTTGGGGAGGAAATATACTTCATATGATTCAATCTTCTTAATTTTGTTCAGACATCTTTTGTTATCTATTATGTTATCTATCTTGGAAAACGTTGTTTGCACTTGAGAATGTATACTTAGTTTCTGTTTGGCAAAATGTTCTGTATAAGTCTAGTAAGTCAATTTGATTTATAATATTGTTCAAGTTTGATTCATTGTCTGTTTTTTTTCTATCCATTATTGAAAGTAGTGTATTAAATTTCCTTAATGTTATTGAGTTGCTATTTCTCCCTTTACTTATGTCAATGTTTGCCTTACGTGCTCGGAAATTAGGCACATATATATTAACAATTTGCTACATTTCTTGATGAATTGATCCTTTTACTATTATATAATGACTTTCTTTTTCTCTTGTGATAATTTTTTTTTTTTTACACAATGCGTAGGTTTGTTACATAGGTATACATGTGCCATGGCGGCTTGCTGCACCGTCAACGCATCATCTAGGTTTTAGGCCCCACATGCATTAGGTATTTGTCCTAATGCTCTCCCTCCCCTTACCCCCTCCTCCCCAACAGGCTCCACTGTGTGTTGTTCCCCTCCCTGTGTCCATGTGTTCTTGTTGTCCAGCTCCCCTTATGAGTGAGAACATGTGGTGTTTGGTTTTCTGTTCCTGGATTAGTTTGCTGAGGATTATGGCTTCTAGCTTCACCCATGTCCCTGCAAAGGACATGAACTCATCCTTGTTTATGGCTGCACAGATTCCATGGTGTATATGTGCCACATTTTCTTTATCCAGTCTATCATTGATGGGCATTTCGGTTGGTTCCATGTCTTTACTATTGTAAATAGTGCTGCAATAAACATACGTGTGCATGTGTTTTTTATAGTAGAAAGATTTATATTCCTTTGGGTGTATACCCAGTATTGGGATTGTCAGGTCACATGGTATTTCTGGTTCTAGATCTTTAAGGAATCGCCACACTGTCTTCCACAATTATTGAATTAATTTACACTCCCACCAACAGTGTAAAAGCATTCCTATTTCTCCACAGCCTTGCCAGCATCTATTGTTTCTGACTTTTTAATAATCACCATTCTAACTGGCATGAGATGATGTCTCATTGAGGTTTTGATTTGCATTTCTCTAATATCAATGATGATGAGTTTTTTTCCATATGTTTGTTGGCCACATAAAAAGAGAAGCATCTGTTCATATCCCTTGTCCACTTTTTGATGGGGTTGTTTTTTTCTTGTAAACTTCTTTAAGTTCCTTCTAAATTCTGTATATTAGACCTTTGTCAGATGGGTAGACTGCAAAAATGTTCTCTCATTCTACAGGTTGCCTGTTCACTCTAATGCTAGTTTATTTTGCTGTGCAGAAACAAAGGGTATTCAAACAGGAAGAGGGTAAGTCAAATTGTCTCTGCAGATAACATAATTCTGTATTTAGAAAATCCCATCATCTCAGCCCAAAAACTCCATAAGCTGATAAGCAACTTCAGCAAAGTTTCAGGATACAAAATCAATGTGTAAAAATCACAAGCATTCCTATACACAAGCAATAGAGAAGCAGAAAGCCAAATCATGAATGAACTCCCATTCACAATTGGTACAAAGAGAATAAAATACCTAGGAATACAGCTTACAAGGATGTGAACAACCTCTTCAAGGAGAACTACAAACCACCACTCCCGGAAATAAGAGAGGAAACAAACAAATGAAGAAACATTCCATGCTCATGGATAGGAAGAATCAGTATCATGAAAATGGTTATATTGCTCAAAGTAATTTATAGAGTTCATTCTATTCCCATCAAACTACTATTGATGTTCTTCACATAAGTAGAAAAAAAAACTTTAAATTTCATATGGAACCAAAAAAGAGCCCGCATAGTCAAGACAATCCTAAGGAAAAAGAACAAAGCTGGAAGCATCACACTACCTGACTTCAAACTATACTGCAAGGCTACAGCAACCAAAACAGCCTGGTACTAGTACCGAAACAGACATATAGACCAATGAAACAGAACAGAGGTCTCAGAAATAACATCATACATCTACAACCATCTGATCTTCAACCAACCTGACAAAAACAAGCAATGGGGAAAGGATCTCCTATTTAATAAGTGGGGGTGGGAAAACTGGCTAGCCATAGGCAGAAAACTGAAACTGGGTCCCTTCCCTATACTTTACACAAAAATTAACTCAAGATGGATTAAAGACTTAAATATAAAACCCAAAACCATAAAAACCCTGTAAGAAAACCTAGGCAATACCATTCAGGACATGGGCAACGTCTTCATGATGAAAACACCAAAAGCAATTGCAACAAAAGCCAAAATTTACAAATAGGATCTAACTAAACTAAAGAAGTTCTTGTGATAATTTTTTACTTAAATTCTATTATGTTTGATATAATATAGTTATCCCTGCTGTCTTTTGGTTACCATCTACCAGGGATATCTTAACCACTTCTTTCACCAGGTGTGTCCTTAAATCTAAAGTGAGTTTTTTGTAGGCAGCAAGTATTTGTATGTTTATTTTATTATACTTTAAGTTCTGGGGTACATTTGCAGAACGTGCAGGTTTGTTACATAGGTATACATGTGCCATGGTGGTTTGCTGCACCCATCAACCTGTCACCTACATTAGGTATTTCTCCTAATGCTATCCCTCCCCTAGCCCCCCACCCACCAACAGGCCCTGGTGTGTGATGTTCCCCTCCCTGTGTCCATGTGTTCTCATCAGCTCCCACTTATGAGTAAGAATGCAGTGTTTGGTTTTCTGTTCTTGTGTTAGTTTGCTGAGAATGATGGTTTCCAGCTTCATCCATGTCTCTGCAAATGACATAAACTCATCCATTTTTTATGTCTGCATAGTATTTCATGGTGTATATGTGCCACATTTTCTTTATCCAGTCTTTCATTGGTGAACATTTGTGTTGGTTCCAAGTCTTTGCTATTGTGAATAGTGCCACAATAATCATACACATGCATGTGTCTTTAAAGTAGAATGATTTATAATCCTTTGGGTATATAGCCAGCAAAGGGATTGCTCAGTCAAATAGTATTTCTAGATCTAGATCCTAGAGGAATCGCTGCACTGTCTTCCACAATGGTTGAACTAATTTACACTCCCACCAACAATGTAAAAGCATTCCTATTTCTCCACATCCTCTCCAGCATCTGTTGTTTCCTGACTTTTTAATGATTGTCATTCTAGCTGGCATCACATCCCTTGTAAGCTGTATTCCTAGGTATTTTATTCTTTTAGTAGCAATTGTGAATGGGAGTCCATTCATGATTTGGCTTTCTGTTTATCTGTTACTGGTGTATAGGAATGCTTGTGATTTTTGCACATTGATTTTGTATCCTGAGACTTTGCTCAAGTTGCTTATCAGCTTAAGGAGATTTTGGGCTGAGAAGGTGGGGTTTTCTAAATATACAATAATGTCATCTGCAAACAGAGACAATTTGACTTCCTCTCTTCATATTTGAATACCCTTTATTGCTTTCTCTTGCCTGGTTGCCCTGGCCTGAACTTCCATACTATGTTGAATAGGAGTAGTGAGAGAAGACATCCTTGTCTTGTGCCGGTTTTCAAAGGGAATGCTTCCAGCTTTTGCTCATTCAGTATGATATGGGCTGTGGGTGTGTCATAAATAGCTCTTATTATTTTGAGATACATTCCATCAATACCTAGCTTATTGAGATTTTTTAGCATGAAGGGGTGTTGAATTTTGTCAAATGTCTTTTTTGCATCTATTGAGATAATCGTGGTTTTTGTCACTGGTTCTGTTTATGTGATGCATTACGTTTTTTTCATTTGTGTATGTTGAACCAGCCTTGCATCCCAGGGATGACACCGACTTGATTGTGGTAGATAAGCTTTTGATGTGCTGCTGGATTCAATTTGCCAGTATTTTCTTGAGGATTTTCGCACTGATGTTCATCAGGGATATTGGCCTGAAATTTTCTTTTTTTGTGTGTCTATCCCACGTTTTGGTATCAAGATGCTGGCCTCATAATATGAGTTAGGGAGGGTTCCCTCTTTCTCTATTTCTTAGAATAGTTTCAGAAGGAATGGTACCAGCTCCTCTTTGTACCTCTGGTAGAATTCAGCTGTGAATCCACCTGGTCCTGGACATTTTTTGGTTGGTAGGATATTAATTTATTGCAGAATTTGTTATTGGTTTATTCAGTTATTTGACTTCTTCTTGGTTTAGACTTGGGAGGGTGTATGAGTCCAGAAATTTATCCATTTCTTCTAGATTTTCTAGAAGAGGTGTTTATACTATTCTCTGATGGTAGTTTTCTGGATTTCTTCTAGGTTTTCTGGTTTATTTGCATAGAGGTGTTTATAGCATTCTCTGATAGTAGTTTGTATTTCTGTGGGTCAGTGGTGAAATACCTCTTCCCATTTTTTTGTTTTTTTGCATCTGTTTGGTTCTTCTCTCTTTTCTTCTTTATTAGTCTGGTTTGCAGTCTAGTTTGTTGATCATTTCAGAAAAACAGCTCCTGGCTTCACTGATTTTTTGAAGGGTTTTTCATGTCTCTATCTCCTTCAGTTCTGCTCTGATCTTAGTTATTTCTTGTCTTCTGCTAGCTTCTGAATGTGTTTGCTCTTGCTTCTCTAGTTCCTTTAATTGTGATGTTAGGGTATCGATTTTAGATGTTTCCTGCTTTCTCTTGTGGGCATTTAGTGCTATAAATTTCCCTCTACACACTGCTTTAAATGTGTCCCAGAGATTCTGGTACGTTGTGTCTTTGTTCTCACTGGACTCAAAGAACATCTTTATTTCTGCCTTCATTTTGTTATGCACCCAGTAGTCTTTCAGGAGCAGGTTCAGTTTCCATGTAGTTGTACAGTTTTGAATGCGTTTCTTAGTCCTGAGTTCTAATTTAATTACACTGAGAGACTGTTTGTTATGATTTCTGTTCTTTTGCATTTGCTGAGGAGTGTTTTACTTCCAATTATGTGGTCAATTTTAGAATAAGTGTGATGAGGTGCTGAGAAGAATGTACATTATGTTGATTTGGGGTGGATAGTTCTGTAGATGTCTATTAGGTCCTCTTGGTGCAGAGCTGAGTTCAAGTCCAGATTTCTTTGTTAACCTTCTGTATTGTTGATCTGTCTAATATTGGCAGTGGGATGTTAAAGTCTCCCACTATTATTTTGTGGGAGTCTAAATCTCTTTGTAGGTCTCAAAGAACTTGCTCTATGAATCTGGGTGCTCCTGTATTGGGTGCATATATATTTAGGATAGTTAGCTCTTCTTGTTGCAATTCTCCCTTTACCATTATGTAATGCCCTTCTTTGGTTTGAAGTCTGTTTTATCAGAGACTAGGATTGCAACTCCCGCCTTTTTTTTTTTTCTTTTTTTTTGCTTTCCACTTGCTTGGTAAATATTCCTTCATCCCTTTATTTTGAGCCTATGTGTGTCTTTGCACGTGAGATGGGCCTCCTGAACACAACACACTGAAGGGTCTTGACTCTTTGCACCCTGCAGACTAGGAGATTCCCTCCAGTGCCTATGCCACCAGGGCCCTGGGTTCCCTGCACAAAACTGAGCAGCTGTTTCGGCAGACACAGAACCAGTTACAGGAATTTTTTTTTTTTTTCCATACCTCAGTGTTGCCTGGAATGCCAGCGAGACAGAACTGTTCACTCCCAGGGAGCCAGTGGTTTGGCTTGGCTGGGCCCACCCCCACGGAGCCCAGCAAACTAAGATCCACTGGCTTTAAATTCTTGCTGCCAGCACAACAGCCTGAGGTTGACTTGGGATGCTCTAGCTTGGTGGGGGGAGGGGCATCCGCCATTGCTGAGGCTTGAGTAGGCGGTTTTACCCTCACAGTGTAAACAAAGCTGCCAGGAATTTTGAACTGGGCAGAGCCCACCGCAGCTCAGCAAGGCTGCTGTGGCCAGACTGCCTCTCTAGATTCGTCCTCTCTAGGCAGGGCATCTCTGAAAACAAAGGCAGCAGCCCCAGTCAGGGACTTATAGATAAAACCCCCATCTCCTTGGGACAGAGCACCTGGGGGAAGAGATGGCTATGGGCGCAGCTTCAGCAGACTTAAAAGTCCCTGCCTGATGGCTCTGAAGAGAGCAGTGGACCTCCCAGCACAGCGTTCAAGCTCTGATGAGGGTCAGATTGCCTCCTCAAGTGGGTCCCTGACCCTTGTGTATCCTAACTGGGAGACACCTCCCAGTAGGGGCCCACAGACACCTCATACAGGAGAGCTCTGGCTGACATCTGTCAGGTGCCCCTCTGGGACGAAGCTTCCAGAGAAAAAAACAGGCAGCAATCATTGCTGTTTTGCAGCCTCCACTGGTGATACCCAGGCAAACAGTGTCAAGAGTGGACCTCCAGCAAACTCCACCACACCTGCAGCAGAAGGTCCTGACTGTTAGAAGGAAAACTCACAAATAGAAAGGAATAGCACATCCACTCAGAGACCCCATCTGAAGGTTACCAACATCAAAGATAGATAAATCCATGAAGATGGGGAGAAACCAGTGCAAAAAGGCTGAAAATTCCAAACACCAGAATGCCTCTTCTCCTCCAAAGGATCACAATTCCTCACCAGCAAGGGAACCAAAATGGACAGAGAATGAATTTGACGAATTGACACAAGTAGGCTTCAGAAGGTGGGTAATAACAAACTCCCCTGAGCTAAGGGACCATGTTCTAACCCAATGCAAGGAAGCTAAAAACCTTGAAAAAAGGTTAGACGAATTGCTAACTAGAATAACCAGTTTAGAGAAGAACATAAATGACAGGATGGAGCTGAAAAACACAGCATGGGAACTTCTTGAAGCATTCACAACTATCAATAGCAGAATCGATCAGGTGGAAGAAAAGATATTAGAGATTGAAGGTCAACTTAATAATGAAATAAGGTGAGAGGACAAGATTAGAGAAAAAAGAGTGAAAAGGAATGAACAAAGCCTCCAAGAAATATTGGACTAAGTGAAAAGACCAAATCTATGTTTGATTGGTGTACCTGAAAGTGATGGGGAGAATGGAACCAAGTTGGAAAACACTCTGCAGGATATTATCCAGGAGAACTTCCCCAACCTAGCAAGACAGGCCAACATTCAAATTCAGGAAATACACAGAACACCACAAAGATACTCCTTGAGAAGAGCAACCCCAAGACACAGAATCGTCAGATTCACCAAGGTTGAAATGAAGGAAAAAATGTTAAGGGCAGCCAGAGAGAAAGTCGGGTAACCCACAAAGAGAAGCCCATAAGACTAACAGCAGATCTCTCAGCAGAAACCCTACAAGCCAGAAGAGAGTGGGGGTCAATATTCAACATTCTTAAAGAAAAGAATTTTCAACCCAGAATTTCATATCCAGCCAAACTAAGCTTCATAAGTGAAGGAGAAATAAAATCCTTTACAGACAAGCAAACGGTGAGAGATTTTGTTACCACCAGGCATGCCTTACAAGAGCTCCTGAAGGAAGCACTAAACAAAGAAAGGAATGAACGGTACAAGCCACTGTGAAAACATACCAAATTGTAAAGACCGTCGATGGTACGAAGAAACTGCATCAAATAACAGGCAAAATAACCAGCTAGCATCATAATTATAGGATCAAATTCACACATAACAATGTTAACTTTAAATATAAATGGGCCAAATGCCCCAGTTAAAAGACACAGACTGGCAAATATATGGATCTTTTAAAAAATTTTATTTAGCCTCTTTGTGCCTTTTGAATGGGGACTTTCATCCATTTACATTTAAAGATATTATTTATTGGAAATAATTTGTTAATACTATGGCTGTTTTGTTAATTGATTTCTGTCTTGTATTTCTCTTGTCCCTCTTTTTCTGTCTTACTCTCTTTGTGTTTCATTGATTATTTTGTATTGCTATAACTGGGTTTCTTTCTTTCTTGTTTTATATAACCTATGTAGGTATTGTGTGTGTGTGTGTGTGTGTGTGATTACTACAGGACCAACATAAAATATCTTTTGGCCCAGGTGTGGTGACTCACGCCTGTAATCCCAGCACTCTGGGAGGCAGAGGCAGGTGGATCACCTGAGGTCAGGAATTCGAGGACAGCCTGGCTAACATGGTGAACCCCTGTCTCTACTAAAAATACCAAAAAAATTAGCCAAGCGTGATGGTGGGCACCTGTAATCCCAGCTACCCAGGAGGTTGAGGTAGGAGAATCACTTGAACCCAGGAGGCGGAGGTTGCAGTGAGCTGAGATCATGCCATTGCACTCCAGCCTGGGTGACAAGAGCAAAAGTCCATCTCAATAAATTCATAAATAAGTAAATAAATATTTTCCTTTTTTTTTTTTTTTTTGAGACGGAGTCTCGCTCTGTCGCCCAGGCTGGAGTGCAGTGGCGGGATCTCGGCTCACTGCAAGCTCCGCCTCCCGGGTTCACACCATTCTCCTGCCTCAGCCTCCCAAGTAGCTGGGACTACAGGCGCCCGCCACTACGCCCGGCTAATTTTTTGTATTTTTAGTAGAGACGGGGTTTCACCGTTTTAGCCGGGATGGTCTCGATCTCCTGACCTTGTGATCCGCCCGCCTCGGCCTCCCAAAGTGCTGGGATTACAGGCGTGAGCCACCGCGCCCAGCCTAAATAAATATTTTCTAACACTCTATTTTAAACTGATAACAACCAAGTTCAATCCCATGCAAAAATTACACTTTTACTTCTCCCCCACTCTACATTTATTGCTGTTGATGTCACAATGTACATCTATTTATACTTGTATCCATTAACGTATTTTCAGTTATAATTAATACTTTTAATTTTTATGATAAAATTTAAAGTGACTTACCATCACAATCACAGTAATATAGTATTTTTATTATTTATATATTGCCTTTACCATTGAGCTTTATACTTTCTTAGGCTACTGTACTGCTATTTAGGGCTGTTTTATTTCCCATTGAAGAACACTCTTTTGCATTTCTGGTAAAGCAGGTCTAGTTGTGATGAACTTCCTCAGCTTTTGTTTGTCTAGAAAATTCCTATCTCTCTTTAATTTTTTGAAGGATAGTTTTGCCAGGTTTAGGATTTTTGTTGTTGTTTTAGGTATAGTATTCTTGATTGGCAATTTTTGTCTTTCAGCACTTTGAATATATCATTGCACTTAAAAAATCCTCTAATAGTTTTCTGAGGGTTACACTGTATGTCATAAGTTGCTTTTCCTCTGCTGCCTTCAAAATACTCCCTGTCTTTGACTTTTAACAATTTGATTATAATTTCCCTTAGTGTATATTTCTTTGGGTTTATCTTATTTTAGGAAATTTGAGTTTCTGGAATCTGTATTTCATCTCCTTCACAGATTTAGGAAGTTTTCAGCCATTATTTCTTTGAATAAATTTTCTGCTGCTGATTTTATTCTCCGTATGGGACTCCCAAAATGCATGTAGTGACCTGCTGGATGGTGCCCCATAAGTCCCTTATGCTTTCTTTACTCTTTTGAATCTTTTTGTCCCTCTGACTAAATAATTTTTTTGTGACCTGTCTTTGAGTTTGCCCATCCTTCTTCTGCTTGATCTAGTTTGCTGTTGAACTCCTGTAGTGAAATATTTAGTTTAGTTATTGTGTTCTTTAGCTCCATATTTTCTGTTTGGTACTTTTTAATATTTCTCTTTATCAATATTCTTACTTTGTTAATATATTGTTCTCCTGATCTCAGTGAGACTCTTTATGAGGGTTATTTGAATTCTTTGTCAGATAAATTATGTCTCTGTTTGATTAGAATCTGTTTCTGAAGATTTATCTTGTTTCTTTTTTTGGAACATATTTCTCAGCTTTTTTTTTTTTTTTTTTTTTTTTTGAGACAGAGTCTCATTCTGTCACCCAGGCTGGAGTGCAGTGCATCTGCTGGTTGATCTCAGCTCACTGCAACCTCCGCCTCCTGGGTTCAAGTGATTCTCCTGTCTCAGCCTGCCAAGTAGCTGGGGTTACAGGCACATGCTGCCATGCCCAGCTAATTTTTTTTTTTTTTTTGTATTTTAGTAGAGATGGGGTTTCACCTTGTTGGCCAGGATGGTCTAGATCTCTCAACCTCGTGATCCACCCGCCTTGGCCTCCTGAAGTGCTGAGATTACAGGTGTAAGCCACCATGCCTGGCCATATTTCCCATTCTTAAAAATTTTTCTTGATTCTCTCTGTTGGTGTCTGCCTATTAGACAAAGCAGACATCTCTCTCTCTTCACAAAATGGCCTCATGCAATAGGCTTTTACTAATCAGTTTGGAAAGATTCTTGGGACCTCTTAAACCTTTGTTATAGTCCAACCTACTTCCTTTATTTTTAGTGTCCCCCAGACATCTATAGTATGCCAGGTTCAACAATGTGTATGCCCCCTGAGCTGCAGAACCAGCAAGTTTTTATTAGCAATTTTCAAACGGGAGGGAGTGTACGAATAGGGTGTGGGTCACAGAGATCACATGCTTCAAAGGCAATAAAATATCACAAGGCAAATGGGCAGGGCAAGGTCACAAGGCCAGGGCGAAACTAGAATTGCTGATGAAGTTTCATGTCCCACTGTGCATGCATTGTCATTGATAAACATCTTAACAGGAAACAGGGTTCAAGAGACGAGAACCAGTCTGACTAAAATTTGCCAGGCTGGAATTTCCTAATCCTAGCAAGCCTGGGGGCACTGCAGGAGACCATAGCATGTTTCATCCCTATCTACAATTGCATAAGGCAGACACTCCCAGAGTGGCCATTTTAGAGGCCTCCCCCTGGGAATGCATTCTTTTCTCAGGTCTGTTAATTATTAATACTCTTTACCAGGGAAAGAATTCAGCAATATTTCTCTTACCCATTTTCGGCAATAAGAGAAATATGACTATGTCCTGCCCGGCTCCCAGGCAGTCAGACCTAATGGTTATCTCCCTTGTTCCCTGAACATTGCTGTTATCCTGTTCTTTTTTCAAGGTGCCCAGATTTCATATTGTTCAAACACACATGCTTTGCGAACAATTTGTGCAGTTAACGCAATCATCACAGTGTCCTGAGGCAACATACATCCTCAGCTTACGAAGATGACGGAATTAAGAGATTAAAGACAGGCATAGGAAATTATAAGAGTATTTACTGGGGAAGTGATAAATGTCCATGAAATCTTCATAATTTATGTTCAGAGAGTGCAGTAAAGACAGGTCTAAGAAATTATAAAAGTATTAATTTGGGGAACTAACAAATGTCCATGAAATCTTCACAATTTATGTTCTTCTGCCGTGGCTTCAGCCAGTCCCTCCGTTCGAGTTCCCTGACTTCCTGCAACAAGTGTGCCCAGGTAAGTGCGACTGAAACCAATTCTTTGGGAAGCCTGCAGAAAAGTTGGATCTTTAGATGCTTTGTCCACAACTTTCTCCTTCCAGAGAGAAGCTGGGATCTTTTCTTGTTTGTTTGTTATTTGTTTCTGTTTTACTTGTTTTCTGTCTGTGTTGAGCTTGGAAGGAGAAGCTATGGTGACTAGTTGCATACTAGCTCAAATCATTGTTTTTGTTCTCACTGCCTGCCAGGTGGCTAGACTAGGTGGCCTGGTTCCATTTGCACTCTGAGGCAAGCAGGAAATAATTCAGTCCTTTGAACAACTCAAAAATGTGGGGATTTAAGCATTCAGTTCAACTCTTTGCCTCCCCAGAGAGAAGGTGGGGGTTTAAGTTGTTAATCTGCTTGTACTGTACTGAGCCAAGAAGAGGGCTGTAGTGACTGTCAGCTCAAATTGCTATCTCTGTTCTCATTAGCCCTTAGGTGGCTAAATCATGTCAGGTCCCATTAGCACTCCAAGACAGAAGCCAGTCCTTTGGGTAGCTTCCAGAAAATGTGGGGCACTGGATGCACAAACCAACTCTTTGCATAGCCAGACATAAGAACTGAGATTTTTTTTTTTTTATCCACTTGTTCTGTGCTTGCTGGAGGAAAGGACTGTGGCAACTGCTATCTGAAACTGCTGTATCTGTTGTCTTCCAGGTGGCTAAAGTATTTTGGATCCCACCAGTGCTCCATGAATGTCAAAACAAAAGTCAGTGCTCTGGAAAGTCCCCAGAAAAGTTGGGGTGACAAATGTTTGTTCCAACTCTTTCCCTCCCCAAGGAGAAGCTAAGAGCTCTTGGAGCATTTTTCCTGATTTAGTGTTATGCTGGGCATGGAGATTCTGGAGAGATGGTGTCTCAGATTTTCCTACTGGTGTTGAGATGTCTAGTTTTTTGTTTGCCTGAGGTGCAGAAGCCTCTCAACTGGTTTCTGTATTTCCTCACAAAAGGAAATTGTCCATGATTTATTATTGAATCACTATGTGGGCAGAAGAAGGGTTCAGGTTTTCCTATTCTGCCATCTTACGTGCAATCAACTTTTCTCATTTATACCTAAAATTATCTTAGATGAGAGGGTTTAAGATATTATATAGATATAATATTTATAATACAAAATTATAATTACGCTGTAAACATGGGGAAATACAAGCAGCACTTGAAAGTTCATACCCTGTCAGTTAATATTAAAGAACAAAATGATAAAAGTTCAGAACCTAAATTTGAAGGCATGTGGAGAAAGGATTATAAAGTAAAGCAAAGGTAAGGAGAAGAAGAATTTTTGACTCATACTAAGTATTGTAGTAAGTGCAAACAATACACAAATATATCTCTATATTAAAATTGTCAACAGGTAAATTCCTTAGAGGAAAGGCTAGGGTTGATTTATTTCTGTTTATTTATTTTTTGAGACAGGGTCTCATTTCGTTCCCCAAGCTGGGGTGGCATGATTATGGTGCATTTCAACCTCAACTTGCTGGGTTCAAGCAGTCCTCCTGCCTCAGCCTCCTGAATTGCTGGGACTACAAGTGTGTACCACTATACTCAGCTAATATGTGTGTGTGTGTGTGTGTGTGTGTGTGTGTGTGTGTGTGTGTGTATGTGTAATCAAGGTCTCGCTATGTTTCCCAGGCTGATCTTGAACTCCTGGGCTCAAGCAATCCACTCTCATCGGCCTCCCAAAGTGCTGGTATTACACGCATGAGCCACCACATCAAGGCTGGGGTTGATTTAAACTTCATGTTAAGATTGCACTCAATTGCAAAAGTGACTGCATTGAGCTTCTAATTATTTAAGATGCTAAATATTATTGTCAGTGATACTAGATATCAGAACAAAATCCAAATGAATAGTCATCTTTAGAAATAATTCAAGCTAAGAAATTTTTTACAAATAATATTTTAATAGTATTAGAGTACTTTGAAAGTATTATTAATGACAAGTAAAAGATAGCTTGTTCAAAACAAAATCTCAGAATACAATGTGACTTTAGAGATCATCTGGCACAGAAAAGCTCAAAATTAATTAATACCGTTTGGCTCAATCTGAGTCAGCCTCTGGGCCAGCTGTACTTTAGTCAGGAAGATGGGGCTTGCTTTGGTGCATTTTAATCTCCATGATGACCAGTTATCTTGGCTGTATTCCCAAGGGCTTAGGACTGTTTCAGTGAGATCCAAAAATAATTTTGTACAAATTCTTTATTTTTCTTATAACAGGAAATACATGAGTTCTATTTTATAAGAAGTTGTGGTATCAATTGATTTCTACACATAATTAAATTAAAAATTAAGGAATTCTGATTCCAGGTCTAGGAATGGAAGTAGTTATTGAAAACTTAAGGGATCTAATAGGGGAAGATAACTTTCAGAATGAATAGAGAAATTATTTCACAGACTAAGGAGGTATCTCCCCAGTCCCTCACATTGGCATGATAATCTAAAAAAAGATACATATAAATCAGTAAGCAACTCTATACAATATTTGCAATATGTGAGATTCTGGAATTACAAACATAAATGAGGTATTATAAAGGAAGAAAATGATCCCTTTAATATATCACTATTTTTGTTAGAAAATCGATGCATAGATGGGAGAATAAAATGTAAACAAGTGAAAAAATTAAAAAATAATATGAGAAAATCTTGTAAACTAAGCAAATATCTGTTAAATCAGAGACCACAATTATGTCAATTCTTGGAAATCTAAACTCTTAATTTTATTGAACATGTAATTTTACAACAGAAAAGATCTGTATACTCAAAATTTGTCAAAGGCTTAGAATATTTTCTTTCTGGAAAGTCCATTTTTTTCTTATCAAACATATTGTAATGCTATAGACCACCACGAAGAGAAAAAAAGACAGCATCTCCTGGGAAAATCCCAAGCTTCATGTTGTAATCTGACAAGTACCCCACCAGATTACTTAGGAATATGCAACAGCTGCTTGAACACTGAATGCTGGGAAATGAGTCAAGGCCATGGTGCCCAGATGAGGAGCAGGTATCCCTGAGAACCCAAACATCCCAGAGTCTGGGAACATACCAAAGAAAACATTTTCATCACTCAAACACAGTAGTCAAAGAGACTAAAAATTAGCTTAAAAGTAGCTTATAGATGGGTGACAATGTGTATCTCTAGGGCTATCCTGTCACCATCCAGGAGTGCCCTGTATGTAAGCTTTCTGTGAAAGGGGCAGGGATTCCCCAGAAATGAGGGTTCCTTTCCTTTTTAGACTATATAGGGTAACTTCCTGACACTGCCATGGCATTTGTAAACTGTCATGGCATTGGTGGGAGTGTCTTTTAGCATGCTAATGCACTATAATTAGCATATAATGAGCAGTGAGGACAACTTGTGTCACCATCTTGGTTTTGCTGAGGTCACGTGTGTTGCCATCTTGGTTTTTGTGGGTTTTGGCTGGCTTCTTTACCACATCCTGTTTTATCAGCAAGGTCTCTGTAACCTGCATCTTGTGCAGACCTCCCATCTCATCCTGTGACTAAGAATGTTTTAACCTCCTGGGAATGCAGCCCAGCAGGTCTCAGCCTCATTTTCCCCAGCCCCTATTCAAGGTAGAATTGCTCTGTTTCCAGTATTTCTGGCATCATGGCATCTGGCAAAGGACTGAGTTTGGGGGGACCATTACCTCCTTCAGGTGGGAAATGCCAGAAGTGCTATAGGTGTTCTGTAGCTACAATTTCTGTTACAGCAAAAAGGCCTGGGTGGCCACCTGTACTCCTTGTGGGATGCTGTGTCTCCAACAAAAGCAAATGAGCAATTCAGTACAGGGAATCATAGGCTCAGGATATCAGAGCCTCTGTATTCAGGAAAGCCCAGTATATGTCCAGCAATTGCTGCTGTAACAACATATAACACGGGGTTAAGGAAGAAAGTTTCTTGCATCAGAATATCATAAACAAATTAGTAATTATGGCTGGGGTCCAAGAGACATGAGAGGAATTTACGAGAATAGGTTAACTATTTTAACTGGTGTGAAGGGGCAGGGACATTTGATCTGTTTTGTCAAGTCACTTTTAAGTGCCAATGACTTAATTTTTATTGCTTATTAATTACTTGAGAGCACCCACGCTCACTAAGGATATTTCAGGATATGAGAATAGGAAAGTTAGGCAAAGCAAAGCTCAGAGGATAAAGTGAAGCATAACTATTTGTCTTTTATTTTATATTCGGCAATTAATCTAAAAGTATAAGGGGTACCTTATTTATATTTAGAGAGATTCCCAGGCATAAATGTAATTTGAGACGCTGTATTGATTAAGGCCATGGAGGTCTGCTAGTTGGTACATCTCAGTAGATGTTAATGTTGATTCAGAACTTATATTGTAGAGGACTGGGCACAGGGGTTCATGCCTGTAATCCTAGCACTTTGGGAGGCTGAGGTGGGTGGATCACCTGAGGTTAGGAGTTCAAGACCAGCCTGGCCAACATGGCAAAACCCTATCTCTATTAAAAATACAAAAGTTAGCAAGGTGTGGTGGCAGGAGTCTGTAATCCCACCTACTCGAGAGGCTGAGGCAACAGAGAACGACTTGAACCTGGGAGGTGGAGGCTGCAGTGAGCCAAGATCGCACCACTGCACTCCAGCCTGAGTGACAGAGCAAGACTGCCTATTTAAAAAAACAAAAACAAAACAAAACAAAAAAAACAGAACTTACATTGTAGAGGTGTGTAAACCAAAAAAGTGCCTGAGACAGGTCTCAACCAATTAACCAATTTAGAAATTTATTTTGCCAAGGTTGAGAAAGCACTTGGGAAAAAGGTCTTGCTGTCAAGTCACCGAAAGATCTGTAGCCCACACTGTTTCCAAAGTGTGAAAAGTTAACAGAAAATAGAGGAAGAAGTCAAATATGCATTTGTGTTGGAGTGAGCAGAGGGATGATTTGTAGTCTTGTCCTGCACCAGTTGTTAATTTACATCCTCAGGTTGAGGGAGGCCACCTGGGGAGATATGTGGCTTTTTATTTTGCAGCTATCTGTTTGGAACAAAGGGAAAGGCAGTTTTTCGCATGACAATTTCCAAGCTTGACTTTTTTCTTTGGCATAGTGAGTTTGGCATCACAGTCACAAGATATTATCATCCTTTCACGGGTGCAAAATCTACTTAGTGCCTTTTTATCTTTTTATTATAGAATTATTTTAGTAAATATACAATATCTAATTGGGTCAAATTATGGAAACTTTTTTTAGACATTTTGTTTGTTTTTTCCTCACCTAGTGTCCAGGGTTTGTTTTTCCTTCCTTCCTCCCCTCCTTCCTTCCTCCCTCCCTCCCTTCCTTTTTTCTTCTTTCTTCCTTTCTTTTTCTTTCCTCCTCTTTCTTTTTTCTTTCTTTCTTCTTTCTTTTTATCTCTCTTCTTTCTCTCTTTTTCTTTCTTTCCTTTCTTTTTTCTTTCTCTCTTTTTTCTTCTTCTTTTTCTCTCTCTTTCCTTCCTTCCTTCCTTCCTTTCTTTTTTCTTTCTTTCTTTCTCCTTTCTTTCTTTTCTTTTTTCTTTCTTTCTCTTTCTCTTCTTTCTTTCTTTGTTTCTTTCTTTCTTTCTCTCTTTCTCTTTCTTGTTACTGGATATACTCTGGGTGTATAGTCCTAATTTCCTTGTTCATATTTACAAGTTTCTTCCTCCAGAGTCACAAATTAGTATCATCAAGATTAGGGACCTTTCCATGGCAATTGTTACTTCACTGGGTTTAAGGATCCTAAGTTTAAATCAAGCTTGTGGGTTTTTCCCTGTAATGATGAGGATCTAGATCTTTGTTGCAATATAGATATAGGTAGTACCATCAGCAAAGACATTTTGTAGGGTCCTGGTGAGCCCTCTACCCTTAGGAGTGTGACCACTGCATGTCATGAGATGGCTACCCTTCCTCCACACAAGCTACCACCCGTTCATCCCATATGTTTCACAGGGTATTAGTCTTGCCCTTGAAACTCAATAGATTGGAGTCAATGCTAGGTGTGATATACAAAACCAGCAGTTACAGGGTAAGAGTTGTTCTACTGAGCATAGTGTCAGGCAGAGCTTATGTTAGAATTGAGATTAATGATTCAATGTAAAATACACAGATAGGTGTGGAGTGAGACATGCAACCCAATGCCACTTTAAAGAAAGCCCCAATTGCATATTTCTATTCACAAGTGTTTGAAACTTTTGACATAAGTTGACCAAATCTGTAACAGAGGTTCGATAAAACTCAGAAAATGCAGTACAGAAAAAGCTATAAGTTTGTCAACAGGTAACATCTCAAAGCACAGGCTAACCATCAGGCAGCAGAGCCAGTTAGAAAGCCAAAGCTGAGGAAGAAAGACTTCCAGTGGTGGTGGTGGTCACACAGCAGACACCCTGCTCATTGTGTCAATTGCTGTGGCATAAACCCTTCTACCCATAATATAGTTTAAATGTTGGGACTGATGATATCATACACAAACAAAGAAGGTATCAGAGGTCTATTAATTACTTACTGAGCTTTCTGGGTAGAGCAGAGTATGCTCTCAGGCTGGTCCCAAAATGGCTTGAAAGAGAAAGAAAATAAAAAGGGGCAATAGCTTAGGGTTGTATCATGGTTAGGTGAGGGTTCCCACAAACATGACTGAGTTTACATGGTTTGAGCTTCTCTATATTGCCAAAGAAGGGAGCACCAATAACTTTTTATCCAGTTTGTCCAGATGTGGGACAGAAGTGAAGGGGGAAGTGCTACTTGAAAGTTGTCAACTATCCAATATCAAAAATTCTTTATTAAATCTCTTTCCTTATGTCTTCAATCCTCTTACCATATCTTAGATTATTTATGTGGGTGTGGGTTAGAGTAGAGAAAACTTCAACTGCTCATATTATTGATTGAAAAATAAAAACACTATAATTAGAAAAGAAGACCTAAAATTGAATGTCTAAATCCTAATGCTAAGTGTTCTTACTTTTATATGTTTCTTTTTTATTTCTCACATTAGTGAAGTGGGAATCAGTGCCTTAAGTGGTCACACAGTTGGAAAAGAGCAGAAATGGGTTTGAGACAGGCATTGGTGTCTATATAACTACAAATCACCTCTTTCTCCATTACTCCATGATACTTCTCATTTCAGTATTTTCTCCCATGTGGTTCTAAGTTACAAAAATCAAATGGACAGAATAATTGAATACAGATTGCATTTCAGAAGCTATTTTTTGTGTGTGTAGTCTATGTATGTATGTATGTATGTATATCTAGCTAGCTAGCTAGCTGTATTTTCTAAGAAACTTAATGTTTAACATTTTTGGACTCAGTTTGTAAATGTTAGTATATTTTATCTGTGCCTTAGGGAAGAGAAACCAGCATCTTATTGAATAAACTTTAGTCACTGGATAATTATCTGTGTATAGTCTCATAAGATTTTTTCCCCTGGGGATTCAATAACTTATTTTGTTAGATTCTATAGCTCTTTTGGTATAACCACGCTAAAATAGATTTTCTGTCACAGTGGAGGAGGAAAATGGAGGTAAATGTTAATATTAGTTACTTTACTTTTCTATTTTCTTTGGTAAGGACCCTGCATGTTGTGGCTTTAAATGTATTATACAAGTTTAATAATTATTTCTTGTATTTCAGCTTTTCAGATGGTCAAATTAAGATATAATTTTGCAAAAATTCTATTTGGCTTAGAATAACAAAAGCAATTACTCCATATTTCTTCAACCTCACAGTTTTTACTTTTTCTCATGTATATAGCTTAAAGAACAAATGGACTATGCACCAAAACAAGTGCATTTGTGGCTTAATATGTGATTCAGTAACAATGTACAGAAACTAAGTGAAAAATTTAAAAACCTATATACTCTCCTTCTGTAGTTGATATGTTTGGATCTAGTGTCCCCACCCAAATCTCATGTCATATTTTAATTCTCAGTGTTGGAGCTGGGGCCTGGTGGGAAGTGATTGGATCATGGGGGCAGTTTCTAATAGTTTAACACCATCCTCCTTAGTGCTGTCTCATGATAGAGTTCTCATGAGATCTGGTTGTTTAGAAGTGTGTGGCACCTCCCCTCTCTCCCTCCTCTTGCTCTTCATCCAGCCATGTAAGACATGTCTGCCTCCCCTTTGCCTTCTGCCATCATTGTAAGTTTCCTGAGGCCTCCCCAGAAGCCAAGCAGATGGCCAGCATCATGCTTCCTGTACAGCCTGTGGAACTGTGAGGCAATTATTTATGTGGATGTGGGTATTTATAAAGAAAGAAAAAAACCTCTTTTCTTTATAAATTACCCAATTACAGGCATTTCTTTATAGCAGTGTGAGAACAGACTAATACAGTAGTATTTGGGCTTATTTAAGAGGATGACAGGCCAGGTGCAGTGGCTCACACCTGTAATCCCAGCACTTTGGGAAGCTAAGGTGGGTGGATAACTTGAGGTCAAGAGTTCGAGACCAGCATGGCCAACATGGTGAAACCCCGTCTCTAATAAAAATACAAAAATTAGCTGGGTGTGCTGGCATGCACATGCAATCCCATCTACTTGGGAGGCTGAGGCAGGAGAATCGCTTGAACCTGGGAGGCAGAGGTTGCAGTGAGCCGAAATCATGCCACTGCACTCCAGCCTAGGCAACAGGGCAAGACTCCATCTCAGAAAAAAAAAAAAAAAAAGAGGATGACATTCTGGAGGGACAAAGATCATGACCTTAGAAATATTGTTATCTCCATAGTATTTATATGAGAAAAGATGGGAGATGAGAGAGTCAGGAAAGTGTTTTAGCCAATGGCTCATGTTACTCACCTATTCATTGCAGAGACTCAATGGTAAGATAGTTTTGAAAGCCATTCTATAACATGGCACAATGGAATCAGTCCACCTACTAAATGGCTGCCCTTAATATCTTTTAATCATTGCCATATTTTAAACTGAGAAATGCTCTTTTAACCATACATTCTTTACATGTTTCCTTGACTGCAGACATTCCTTTGTTCTGGAATTCATTAACTCTTCAATTTATGCTTTTGCTCACTAGCAGTACAATCACTTTAGACAACCCCTTGGGAGCTAGGAAGGGAGACAGCACACAGATGAGTAAGAGCTATTGATGTCCTACAGTGTTGCCTTTACAGAGTTGATGGTCAAGTAGGAGGTAAAGTCAATAGGTAAACACTCTTGGAAACATTATCCGTAAACAATGTGATACGTTCTATGGTGAAGAGGCATGGGTTAAGAACTACAGAAGCAAAGGAGGTAGTGATGGAGGTAAAGAACAGCCTTGCTGATAAAAAATGATATGTATCACATCTGAAAAGTTTCAGATATTTCTAAGGTCATGATCTTTGTCCCTCCAGGGTCTTACTTCTCCTGGTATATTCTAAACTTCGTCAGTATAGGAATTCCTTTACCATTTTGCCATCGTGGAGCCTACAACTGTGTGTGTGTGTGTGTGTGTGTGTGTGTGTGTGTGCTTATGTGAGTGTGTGGAATAATATTTTACAGTTCAATGGAACAAAATATAAAAGAAAATAAATAGTATTATTTATTATAATAAGTACAGGTGACAGAATTACATTCAATTACATTAAATGTGGGCCTGTATCTTTTTCTGTAAAATAACTACTTCTTGACATTTTCCCAACTTCAAACAAAATTACTCACATTATAAAGATGGAAAAAGATCAAATAAAACACTACCCATATTGACCTTCATAGCCCCAAGTGTTCTCCCAAATATATATTATATAGTAATTAATTGGCTACTGTAGGATGCCACGTTATGTTTAAAACTCTTGCTTTCATCTCATTTGATCATACTTTCAAACCTTTTCTCACCACACATTTTATACATCCCTCAGGTTAGAGATTTGTGTGAGATCCTAATGAGGATCAGTAAAACCACCCCCAGAAAGCTATTGAATTCAGATATTCTGCTCTTTGAGGATACCCTACGTTTCTGTTCTTTTACGGTTTTGTCTCATGGCTATGCTAGCATCACTCCTACCAGGTCCCAGCTCTCTTTCTTACTCTGCATTTGAAGAATATGAACTTATCACTTGGGTTCTGCATTATTCATGGTTCTCCAGTGAAACACTATGTATATTTCTATACTATATATGTTGTGTGTGTGCACATATATACAAATACACATATACCCATATCTGCTATGCATGTAAATATATACACATTATGAAGAATAATCTGCTTCTGCTTTACTCAGATTCTACTGTGTGTAAATATTAATCACATCTAAAAATATCTTTACAGCAACAACTAGACTTGGATTTGACCAAACACTGGGCACCATAGGCTAGCCAGGATGATATATAAAATTAACCATCACAGGATCCATTACACACACAAAGCCAAATAACATATTTTTTTCAGGTTGTTGGCTTTAATAGCCAAATACAGACGTGTTTCCTCAGAGAAAGCAATATAACACAGACAGGATAACTCTATTAAAAGGGCCAGTGTATGTTAAAACAAAATTCTGATATCTGTAAAAAATAAAGGTAACATATGTTTTATCACCAGGTATGTCAAAGTGTCCATAAAATTAAATTTACTTTTTAGAAAAAAAATCCCATTTTGTTATTAGGACAGAACAAAAAAATAAGAAACAGGTTGTTAGGGACCTGGATCATAGGGAAATTCTGGAATCTAGAAGTCCAGAATAAAGATGTCATCAAAGATATGCTGCTTGTAAAACCTATAGAGGAGAATCCTCCCTTCTGTCTTCTAGCCTCTGGTGGTTTGCTGGAAATCTTTGCCATTCTTTGGCTTGAAGCTGCAGCACTTCAATTTCTGCTCTCATCATGAATTATTCTCCCATCATGTGTCCATGTGTCTTCTCTTCTGACACTATGCATATTGGATTAAGAGGCCACCCTATTCTACTATAACCTCATTATAAATTAACTTATCACATCTACAATGACCATATTTCCAAATAAGTTCACATTCTGATATATATATATGTATACACACACACACACACACACTATATACACACACACACACACACACACACATACATGTATAATGCATACATGCATATACACACAATATCCTACAAGATATGTATTGGTGTCCTAACCTCAAAGGTCACATTGTGATATACGTACCAGATACATATCAGATGTATATATGTGTATGTAAGCATATATACACTATACATTCTTCTCTATATACAGAATATATATGCACATACATATAAAATGCATACATACATATATAGTGTGTATATGTACCAGATACATACATATGTAATGCAAACATATATATGTATTGTGTGTATATGTATGCATGCATTATATATGTATGTTTATATATTATGTATATAGAGAGTAATTATAGTGTGTATATATGCTTACACACACACATACATATATACATGATATGTATCTGGTACGTATATCACAATGGGACCTTCTTTGAGGTTAGAACATCAATACATATCTTGTGGGACACAATTCAGTCCATAACACTTGTCTTTGTTGGAGATCTCTCTAGGTCTCAATTTTATAATCCATAAAATTAAAACTATAAGCAAAATAATTTCTCAGGTAACTTCCAGTAATACCATTCTACTAATTTTAGTTTTATAAATTTTATTTATAACTTTTTAAAAATTTAACAAATATTCATGAAAATTATAATATCCAAAATGCTCAGAATATAAAAATAAGTAACAGTTCTCATAGTCAGTGTCTTCCAGTTCAGAGTGGAAGCTGAAAAGTATATTGTAGTATCGTACCTTCTAATGTATTTCAGGTACCTTGCTGGGTGGAGTGCTAACAAGAGAATGCTTTTTGGAGAAGAGGAGTTCTTCTGAAAGATGAATAGGAGTCTGTGATTGAAGAAAGCAAGTACTGATATTTAAGCACAACCAAGAACTGAGAGACTATTTTCAAAGGCATGAAGGTGCAAGAGAAGATTTTGGACTCAATGAATATCTGGTAGCTTTATATTCACAGGAGCCTCAACCACCAGAAGAGAACTTGAAGAAAATGAGACTAGAACGATAGATTTGGCAAAATTATAAAGAAAAATTAATATAATCCTAAGGAATTTTTACTGCATCTTATAGCCATGGTGAATGTAATGACTAGCATTTAATACACTGTATATTATTGAAATTTATTCCGGCATTAGAGTAGAATATAAGAGATACATTAAGTCATTGTGGAAACAGAAAGACCAACTAAAAAACAAATGATATCATTCAGTCAAAACAAAAACAAAAACAAAAACAAAAAATGTAAGGGCCTAAATATGGCCAGGGCTGAGAGAGTGTGAGTAAGGCAGTAGATGGGGAAGATATACAGTTGCCATAATTTGGTAATAAATTTGGAGGAGGCAGATGCCGATGAAAAAAAGCCAAGGATCTGTCAAGGTATCTGATTAACTTTATAATGGCATTTTTCACAAATTGGAAATACTTGAAAAAATGGACGCTGAAAAACAAAGTTGAGAAGTATAGTTTGGTGAATGATGAGCTGGAAGGGATTTAGGACATCCAAACAGAAATGTCCCATGTACAATTGGATATGTATGGCATTCTGACTGTACTCTAACTGAAGTATAGAGGGAACAAGCTCCTCTGATATGTCCAGGAGCCACAGTGGGCAGAAGCTACATGACTGAATTGGACAAAGCTCATCTTCTCACCATCCATGGGTTTCTATTTCTGATTTCCATAAAAGAGGAGGCTTCTCTTTTGAAAAAGGAACTGGAAACTCAACCTCTTCATTGTGTTCCAAATTATTATACCAGGACTGTTAAGTTCAAGAGCAGGGCTTGGCAATGAGATACTTATAAAACATTTTATCATGTGTACTAGCGGGGTAGCTTGTATACTATAGATAGGAATGAACAGAATGCACTGGTTCTAGACCTAAAAAATCATTGATATAAATAACAAATCTACCTATGGGATATAAATCTATACATGAAATAAGTGAATCTATGAATGGGATGAAATTGCATAGAAACACACACACACAAATGCAGGTTAAAAATGGTGAAAAGTGAGTAAGATCTGTAGCCTAGTTAATCATCATATACCAATGTCAATTTCTTGGTATTGATGTTGTACTGCAACGACATAATGTGTCACACTGGGGAAAATTAGGTGAAGATATACGGAACTCCTATACTATTTTTGTAACTTTCTTTGAATTTATATTTATTTCAAAGTAAAACATCAAAAGAAAATAATTTTGCTTTCTGTACCCCTTCTCTATCCTTCACTGATGACCATTTTGATTGTCTGGCTCAGAAGTGGAGGTTATGACTTGGTCACTGGGTTTTACCCAGAGGAGAAGACAGATTGGTGGATATCTTCACAGAATGTCCAGGTTTCATCAAGTCACAACTGCAAGACTCTAGCTGCAGCAATGTTGGAGATCAAGTCTCCGTGATGACAGGGACAAGTGGCTGCTTCAGAGCCCTATAGTAGTGAAACTTTAAATGCATTTCACCTAGCAAGTTATAGTAGTTAAAGCAGGATTAAGGTTATAATTGTGGTTTTCTTGGGACTTTCTCCTTTACTTTTCTTGCTTCTCTTTAGTCATGCACGGTATAGATTATATGAAAAGAAAATATCTTGGGCCTCCAAAATCACTAAACTAAAGGGAAAATTCAACTGGGAAAGGCATACGGCAAACCTGCCTCCCATTCTGTTGCAAGTTATCCCTCTGTTCACTGAGATAAATGCATATCTGATTGCCTCATTTGGGAAGGCTAATCAGAAACTCAAAATAATGCAACAGTTTGCCTCTCACCTATCTGTGACCAGGAGGCCCCCTCCCTGCTTCCAGCTTCCAGTCTTCCTGCTTTTCCTTCGAGATCTCCCGCCTTTCCAGACCGAACCAATGTACTTCTTACATATATTGATTGATGTCTCATGTCTGTTTAAACAAACAGTTTGGGTATAAACTAAACTGTGCTCTGACCACCTTGGGTACATATTGTCAGGATTTCCTGAGGCTGTATCATGGGCATGCATCCTCAACCTTGGCAAAATAAACTTTCTAAATTAAAGTTTAAATTTTATTAAACTTTAATTTAGAAATAAACTTTCAAAATAACTTTCTAAATTAACTAAGACCTGTCTCAGATTTCCTGGGTCCACAATCAGCAAGATGTTTTATCCCTTGTGTTTCAATATGAAATCATAATGTTGTTGTATAAGGTGCAGGCATGTAAATATCCAGTTTATGGATAGACAATAGTAGCCCAGGAACAACCATTCCAGCAGGCTAGGGGTTGCAGAGTTCTCTGAGTTCTTGATACAGCAGCAGAGAGCAAGGACAAGTGAGACAAATTCTAAGACATAAATAAATCTTTCTGGGCAATCTTAGAGACACAAGAAAGCCGATGGGAGGGAATGTAGGTAAATATGGACTTCCTGTTAACTTGGCAGCTATGGCTTCAGAGTTGTGATTACTTCCAGTTTAAATGGAGAAGAAACTCTGTTTATATCTCAAGCTAAAAAAAAAATAGGTTATACATGTTACAGATATATGTTTTGAGGCGGTAATCACTTATGCCATTTCCAGTCATATCTGAAGAGAGTTACTAGAAAAGTAACCTACCTGAGAGTCAGGCTGCTTTTATTTTCTTATATAATCATAGTACACCTGTTGTTTAAACCTGGAAAAGTTACTTAATCTTTCTATTCCTTAGCTTTCCCATCTGTAATGGAGATTACAGTTGCTAATGGTTGTACAGAGAATCAAGTGAGTTAGCCTATGACAACACTTGGATCATGTAATTAGAAAGCATTATCTTTGTGATCAATGTTTTCTGGTAGTTTCCAGAAAGATGCCTTGCATATATTAAAAGGACATTTGGAATTGCATTTATGTAACTAGTCTAAAATCATATCATGTAAATGCTTATTTCAGTATGTAGCACTCCTACTCTGCAAAAATTCTGTAGTTATTTTTGCTGACATTAGAGCCTTTAATGTTTCAAAATTACATGAATAATCACAGATTTCAAAAGTGTCACTCACAAATAGCAATTTAATGACAACACTGTACTGCTGCAATTCCTTAAATATTTATTGGAGAGTGATTCATCTACATTTTGTGAAGGAAATCTGATTTTCCAAGAAGATACTGACCCCGTAAGAATCTATGAAATTTAGACCAACTCACAGTGTTTATAATTGATTCACCTACTTGTAAGGTCTATCGATTATAAAATGAATGATAATGTTTCACATCTGCTTTCATTTATGACTTAAACTAATCAGGAAACAAATAATAATAACATATGAAAAGTGTAACAGTAAACAAAGTTAGAATTACAGAAAATAAAGAAGGCAGCATGCATTTACCTAAAAGAAACATAAGAAACATGTTCTATAGAAGCAGTCCCCAACCTTTTTGTACCAGGGCCCTATTTTGTGGAAGACAATTTTTCCAGGGACAGTGATGGGATTGAATGGGATGAGACATGGTTTTGGGATGAAACTGTTCCACCTCAGATCATCAGGCATTAGATTCTCATAAGGAGCCCACAATCTAGATCCCTCACTGTGCTGTTCACAACAGGGTTCTCGCTTTTATGAGAATGTAATGCCCAGCTGATCTGACAGGAGGCAAAGCACAGGCAGTAATGCTTGCTCACCCGCAGCTCACCTTCTGTGTGGCCTGGTTCCTAACAGTCTGGGGACTAGTACCAGTCCACAGCCCAGGGGTTGGGGACACCTGTAAAGTACAAGTGATCAACTGGATCAACATTTATAAAATGTAATCACAAAACTCCTTTAGAACTTTTTTGAAAAATATTTGTATTTAATTCAAAATTAAGCTGACACATGACTGTATTGCTTGCCAATTTATCAATTTCTGTATTGATACTTTTCGTGAAAAAAGTTCTTACTCCTACTCAAACAATCTCACATTGGTTTTAAATTATACAATTTAAAGTTATAAGTGGGCTGGGGAGAATGACCTCTCTCTGCTGATGTATAATGTTTGGACTTACTTAATTTTTGGTAATTTCTGAAAAAATTTCAGTGATTTATTAAGTATTTTGTTTCTAACAATTATTGACAATAATACCACATTGTTTTGATGATTGTTACTTTATAATAAAGTTTGAAATCAGGTAATATTCTTGCAATATTGTTCTTATTTTTACAGTTATATTAGTCATTTTTTGTTCTATGCATTTTCATATAAATTTTGAAATCATGTTTACAATTTCTTAATGAAAAATCTTCTGCAGTTTTGATTTGAATGGCTTTGAAAATATAGATAAATTTGAAGTGAATTGACATCCTAGTGATATTATTTTTTCCAACCCATTAACAGGGCATATCACTCCATTAATTTAGAGCTACTTTAAATTTCCCAGCTATCTGTTTTTAGTTTTTAATATACAGGTCTTGAAATTCATCAGATTTATTCTGATTATTTTATATGTGATGCTGCTGTAAAGTTTAACTTCCAGTAGTTTGTTAAATACAATTGATAAACCCTGCATCCATTAGCAGTCATCCTCCCTCCACACATTCCCTCAGCCTTGGCAACCACTAATTTAATTTCTGTCTCTATGGACCCAAGTCTGGAGACATACAACGTGATCTTTTGTATCTCACTTCTTTTACTTAGTATAATTTTCTTAGTTCCTTTGTGCTGCTATAAGAAAGTAATTGAGACTGAGTAATTTATAAACAATATCCATGTATTTCTTGCAGCTCTAGAAGCTAGGAATTCCAAGATGAAGGCTCTGGCAGGTTTGGTGGCAGGTGAAAGTCTAATGTTTACTTTCCAGTTGGTACCTTGTTGCTACATCCTCCAAAAGGGATGAATGCTATGTCCTCACATGGCAGAAGGGATTAAAAAGCAAAAAGAGCCTAGTTAGTTTCCTGGACCAGCCCTTTATAAGGCACTAATGTTAGCTATGAGGGTAGACTCCTTGTGGCCTAATCACCTCCTAACAGCTCCAACTCTTAATACTGTTGCTTGGGGATTAAATTTACAAATGATTTTTGAACTTTGAGGCCGACAGACATTTAAACCATAAAAATAATGCTGTCAAGGCTTATCCATGTGGTAGCATGTTTCAGTACTTTATTCCTTGTATGGTTAAATAATATTCCATTGTTTGGATATTCTAAATTTTGCCTATTCATTTATCCATTGATGTGCTTTTTGGTTGTTTCCACATTTTTGGCTATTGTTGAAAATGATGCTATGAAAATTCATCTACATATTTTTGTGTGAAACGTTTTTAGTTCTATAAGAGGAATTGCTGGGTCTTATAACTCAAAGTTTAACTTTTTTGAGGACCTGCTGAAGTATATTTAAAAGTGGTTTCATCATTTTACATTCCAACCAGTAAAAAAAATATATATATAATATATACGTATATACTTATATGTGTATATATACGTATATATGTATATATGTGTATACGTATATATACGTATATATATGTGTATATATATGTATATATGTATACGTGTATACGTATATATGTATATATTTGAGGGTTATATACATATACATACATATATGTATGTATATGTATATACATATATATGTATATATTTGAGGGTTCCATTTTCTCCACAACCACAATAATGTGTTATTATTTACTTTAAAAATTTACAGCCATCCTAATAGGTGTGAAATGGCATATTATTGTCATTTTTACTGGTATTTCCCTAATGACTAATGACTTTCTGCATCATTTCCTGTGCTTATTGGCCCTTTATACAGTTATTCCTTCTTTGGAGAAATGTCTATTCAAATTCTTTTCTTGTTTATTAATTGGATTATTTGTATTTTTAGTGTTAATTTGAGTTCTTTATATACTACATATAATAGACTGATCAGACATATGATTTGCAAATATTTTCTTGAATTCTCTGAATGAAACAACTTTTCACTTTCATTATAGTATCCTTTGAGGCACAAATATTTTTAATTTTAATGAGGTCAAACTTACCTATTTTTTGTTTGTTTCTGTGTTTTAGGTGTCATATTTAATAAACCATTGCCTAATCCAAGGTCTCAAAGATTTACACTTATATTTTCTTCCAAAAGTTTTATACTTTCAATTCACATTGAGGTCTTTATGCTATTTTTAGTTAATTCTTGTATATGGTGTGAAGGGTTACTACTTCATTTTACCTATGGGTATCTAGAGATTTCAGTATCGTTTGTTGAAAGCAATATTCTTTTCCCATTTTGGCACCATTCTAAAAATCAATTGACAGTAAATAAATTTGTCTGTTTCTGGAGTTCCCATATCATTCTATTAATCTATATGCCTATAATTAAGTCAGTACCACACTGTCTTGATTAGTGGAAGTTTTTAGTAAATTTCAAAATTAGAAACTATGAGTCCTTCAAACTTGTCATTTTTCAACATTGCTTTGGCTGTTTTGGGTCTCGTACATTTCCATATGAAAGTTAGTATTAGTTTTTCCATTTCTGCAAAATATTCACCTGGGATATTGATAGAGATTAGGTTGAATGTATAGAAAAATTTGAGGAGTATTGCCACATATTAACAATATTGAGCCTTTAACCTGAGATTGTTTTTCATTTATTAAGGTCTTCTTTAATTATTTTAATTACTATTTTGTAGTTTTCAGTACACGTCTTCTCCTTTTAAATTTATTCCTAAATATTTTATTTTGCTTGATACTATTGTAAATGGAATTGGTTCTTTAGTTTTATTTTTAGATTGTTCACTGCTAGTGTTTGGAGGTATAGTTGATTTTTGTATATTGAACTTGTATCCTGCAAACTTGCTGAATTAGTTTATTAGAGCTAATGGTTATATGTCTAATAGTGTGTATTGTGTGTTATTTAGAATTTTATGTAAACAAAATTATGTCATCTGAAAATAGAGAGAATTTTACTTCTCCCTTTACTATCTGAATGGCTCTTATTTTTATTAGAACCTAATTGTTTAGGCTAGAACATTATTACAAAATTTTATCAAAGTAGACAGAGAGGACAGCCTTGTCTTGCTCCTGTTCTAAGGGGGAAAACTTTTATTCTTTTATGATTAAATATAATGTTAGCTGAAGGTTTTTGTAAATGTTCTTTATCTGACTGAAGGAGTTGCCTTCTTTCTCTAGTGTTTAATCATGAAAATATCTTAGATTTTGCCAAACATTTTTCATTATCTATTGAGATGATTGCATGAATTGTCCTTTATTCCATTGATATGGTGTATTACATTGATTTTCATCATGTTTAATATGTATAAATCTTGTGTCCTGCAACATTGCCAGACAGACTGGTTAGTTCTAGTAGCTTTAAAATTTTTTATCATATTTTCTATAGAGAAATTATATCATCACTGGAAAGGAGGATTAATACTTCATCCTATTTAATCTAGAATCTTTTTATTTTCTTTACTTGCTGTATTAAATTAGCTAGTACCTCCATAACATGTTAAATAATTGTATTGTCAGTAAGCATTCTTGTCCTATGCCTGCTTCTTGGGAGAAGGATTTAATCTTTCAACACTAAGTAAAAATGCTCTTTATTAAGTTGAATTATTTATTTTTACTCATGGTTTGCATAGTTGCTTTACTAAAAAACTAGAAATGCATGTAAGATGATGTCAAAAGATATGTTCTATATCTATGGAAATAATTACATGACTTTTATATTTTAGTGTGTTAACATGATAAATTATATTGATTGACTTTCAATAGATGTTGTTGTGGATGCAGTGAAAAGGGAACACTTTCACAGTCAGTGGGAATGTAGACTAGTACAACCGCTATAGAAAACATAGTGGAGATTCCTTAAAGAACTAAAAATCCATCTATCATTTGATCCAGCAATCCCAGTACTAGGTATCTACTTATAGGAAAAGAAATCATTATACGAAAAAGATACTTGCACATTCATGTTTATAGAAGTACAATTTGCAATTTCAAATATATAGAACCAGTCTAAATGCCCATCCATCAATGAATGGATAAAGAAAATGTGACATATACACACACACACCATGGAATACCACTCGGCCATAAAAAAGAAACGAAATTATGGCATTCACAGCAACCTGGATGGAATTGGAGACTATTATTCCAAGTGAATTAACTCAAGAATGGAAAACCAAACATTGTATGTTCTCACTCATCTGTGGGAGCTAAGCTATGAGTATACAAAGGCATAAAAACAATACAATAGACTTTGGGTACTCCAGGGAAAGGGTGGAAGGTGGCAAGGGATAAAAGACTACACATTGGGTACAGTCTACACTGCTCGGGTGATGAGTGCACCAAAATCCCAGAAATCACCACTAAAAAACGTTTTCATGTAACCAAACACCACCTGTTGCTCAAAAACCTATTGAAATAAAAATAAATAATTTTTTTTAAAAAAAGAAGCACCAAACCAAAATCTGTGGAATGATGTAAGTTTGCAATGTTTCAGATCCCTGACTTTATTTATGCTCCAAAGTAGGTGAAAATCAAGCTTGAATATATTTAAAATATTCTATTTGTAACACCTTTGTGACGCTTCATTAGTGGGCTTTAAAACTGTCACATATTTTCAAATTTCAGTGTTTTTATTTTCATAAATGTTACTGTTTTGCTTCTATTATATACATTTAAGGTATACAGCATGTTTTGTTTTCTTTATACACATATATGTGGTGATATAAATGTCACCATTTTAAATGTCAAAAAAAGTTTACATTCTTGAGATAAGCTTAACTTAGTAATATTGTACTGCCATTTTATATATTGTTAAATTTGATTTGCTAAATCTTTTGAGAAATTTTGTATTTATACATAGTTATAGTTTTTTTTAACTGTAATTTCTGGTTTTGGTATCAAGATGTTAACTCCATAGGATGAATATAGAAGTAGTCTTTCCTTCTCAATTTTCTGGAAGTTTGTATTTGAAAAATTGGTATTATTTCTTCCTTAAATATTTGTTAGAATTTATTATTGAAGCCATATGGTCCTGGAGGTCTCTTTGTAGAAATATTATAAATTTAAATTTGAAAAATCAATATAGAACTATTAAGGTTATATTATTTTCCTGTAGTGAGTTTTAGTGCTTCTCTTTCAAAAAAATTTGTCTATTTAATGTGACTTGTTAAAAATATTGACATAAAGTTGCCTTATTCCATGATTATCCTTTTATCATTTGTAGAATCTGTATGGATGCCATACCTCTGATTCTTGAGTATTACAATTTATGTCTTCTCTCTTTTTTCCCCTAGTATTACTATAGATTTGTCAATATTATTAATATGCTCTAAGAATGAGTTTTGGCTTCATTGATGTTCTCTATTGTTTTACTGTTACCTACATCACTGATTTCCACTCTGATTTTGATCATTTTTTTCCTTTTGCATGCTTTGGATTCAGCTGGCTCTCCTTTTTATAGTTTAATAAGATGGACATTGACATAATTGTTTCGAGACTTCTTTTTCTTTTCAATACATGTGCTTTCATTTTTAGTCAGCTTAAAATATCTTCTACTTTCCCTTTTTATATCTTACTTGATCCATGGGTAATTTAGAAGTATAGTATGTAGATTCCAAAAATGCAGAAATTTTTCAGAAAGTTTTTTTGTTATTTATGTGTAATTTAAGTGATTAGAGAACATGCAGTATATTACTTAAATCTTTTAAAATTTACTAAAACTTGTTTCATGGATCAGAATATTGTTTATATATTATATTATATTTGGAACATGAAAAGAACGAAAATCTCCAATTTGGGGAATGTTAAAATGTTACTTAGGTCAAGTTGTGTGACAGTTGCTTTTTTAAGTCTTAAATATTCTATTTAATTTTTAAAATATTTTTAATATTTATTACATCAGTTTTTGAGAGAGGGAATTGAAATTGTATACTATATTTGTGTATTTGCCTATTTTTCTCTATCAATTTTTGCCTCATTTATTTTGAAATTCTGTTATTAGATGTATAAACACTTAGAATTGTATTTTCTTAAAAAATTGAACACTCAGCACTTTGGGAGGCCAAGGCGGTCGGATCACGAGGTCAGGAGATCGAGACCATCCTGGCTAACACGGTGAAACCCCGTCTCTACTAAAAAATACAAAAAAAATTAGCCGGGCGTGGTGGCAGGCGCCTGTAGTCCCAGCTACTCGGGAGGCTGAGGCAGGAGAATGGCGTGAACCCGGGAGGCGGAGCTTGCAGTGAGCTGAGATCGCGCCACTGCACTCTAGCCTGGGCAAGAGAGCGAGACTATGTCTCAAAAAAAAAAAAAAAAAAAAAATTGAACACTTGATCATTATGAAATGATCATCGTGAGCCATGGACATGTTATTTACTCTGAAATCAACTTTCTCTGTTATTAATACAGACAACATAGTTTTCAAATAATTAGTTTTATCACAGCTTATCTCTTCCATCCTTTGATTTATAACCTATTATTGCCTTTATATTTAAAATAAGCTATTGCAGACAACATATGTTGGATGTTACTTTTTAAAATACAATCTGATATTCTCTTTTTGTGAGACTATTGATATGGTTAGGGTTAAATGTACCAAGATGTTGTTTGTTTTCTGACTTTCTATTTGTGTATTATCTCCTTCTTTTCCTATGGTTTTGCATGCTTTTGTATTAACTGACTATATTTCAATCCAATTTATTTCCTATTAAATTTATACTGTTTTATTATATGTTTTCCTTTAGAGTTTAAAATGCACATCATTGACTTACCATTGCCTACCTTCAGCAATATTACATCATTTTATATATAGTACAAGGAGTTGACAGTAGTATACTTCCATTTCTTCCCTCCTGAGCCTTATGTAATTCTCATTATATATATCACTATTTACTTCTGTGTTATATACCACATAAATCATTATTTTTATTTAAAAAGTCTATTCACCTTTGGAGAATTAAGTAATTAAAATATATATTATATATTTACTTATGTAGTCTCCATTTCCAGTTTTTTTATTCCTTATGTACCTCTATACTTCATGTGGTATATTTCTTTTGATTAAAGAATCTTTAAAAATCATTTCTTACAAAGTAAATATGTCTATGATTAATTCTTTTGGCATTGTATACCTAAAAAAATATTTCGCTTTTATTTTTAAAAGATATTTCATCTATGTGTAGAATTCTTGGCTGACAGTATTTTTTCCAATACTTTAACAATATTGCTCTATTGTCTTCTTACCTGCAGATTACTGAGAAATCTTCTATCATTTTTATTTTTGTTCCTGTGTACATAATGTCATTACTTTTATCACTTCTTCGAATATATTTTTAATCGTTAGTTTTGAGCAGTCATATTGTGATGTAATGGTGTCCTTTTAAAATATTTCTTATACCTAGGGTTTGTTGAACTTCTGACATCTGTAGGTTTATCGTATTCATCAAATTTGAAAACAAGTTATTCTTATATCTATTTTTCTTCCTCCACCTCACCTCAGACTTTGCAGATGAATTTTCCCACAGATAACTGAAGCTATGTTCTTTTTTTTGTCTCAGTGTGCTTCATTTTAGTCCTATTGCTCTATGTTCTAGTTCAATAACCTCTTATCCTGTCATGTATAAAATCCCTTTAATACCAGCCAATGTATTTTTACCTCAGATACTGTAATCTTTATCTCTAGAGGTTTGATTGTTTTTTTAAATTAATGGACTCTATTTTCCAGAGAAACTTTAGGGTCACAGAAAAAAAAATGAGAGAAAATTACAGAGCATTCCCAGATACCCTTTCCTTTTCTACACAAAGATCTGTCACCATCAACATCCCACAGTAGTGTGGTACAATTTTTAGAACTGATGAACCAACATTGACACATCATTATCAACCAAAGTCTAACATTCGCCTTAGAGTTTATTTATTTACTGTGCTATTCATTCTATGGATATGAATAGATGTTTGCTGGCAAGTACTTACCATTATAGCATCATATAACGTAATTTATCTGCCCTAACTCCCCCTTGTGCTCCATTCATTCATCCTTCCTTCTCTCCCCCTGAACTTCCGGCAACCACTGATCGTTTTACTGTCTCCATAGTTTCTCCTTTCCCAGAATGTCTTGACATTGGATTGATATGGTATATAGCCCCTTCAGATTGACTTCTTTCACTTATTAATTTGCATTTATGTTTCCGTCATATCTTTTCCCTGGCTAGATAACTCATTTCTTTTTAGCATGTAATAATTTCCAATTTTATGGATGCAGCACTTTATTCTTTCACCTATTGAAGGACATCTTGGTTGTTTCCAACTTTTGGCTATTATAAATACAGCTGCTATAAAAATATGTGCAAATTTTGTATGGACATAAGTTTGCAACTCATTTGGGTAAATATCAAGGAAAACAATTGGTAAATCACTTGGTAAGAGTATGATTAGTTTTGTAAAAACTGCTGAATTGTCTTGACAAGTGTCTGTACCATTGTGAATTCTCACCAACAATGAATGAGAGTTCCTGCTGCTCTTCATCCTCCTAGTATTTAGTATTATGAGTGTTTTGATTTTTTGCATTCTAATAGGTATGTACTCATATCTTATTAATTTTCAATTTCCTAATGATATGTGATGATGAAAATCTTTTCATATGTTTATTTCTCATATTAATATAATTATTGGTAAGACATCTATCTGTTCTTGGGTCTTTTGTCCATGTTTTGAGTTGTTTATTTTCTTATTGCTGAGCTTAGTTGTTCGATAATTGTTTACCTGTTGAGTTAGTCCTTCGTATGCAGTCATGTACCACGTAACAACTGTAAAATTATATGGTTTGTCTTTGGTCCCCATAAGATTATAATATCATATTTTACTGTGCTTTGTCTATGTTTAGATATGTTAAGATACATAAATAATTACTGTCATGTTAGAATTGCCTACCGTAGTTATTACAGTAACATAGTGTGCAAATTTGTAGCCTAGGATCAATAAGCTATATCATACATCCAAGGTGTGTAGTAGACTATATCATCTAGGTTTGTGTAACTACACTCTATGATGCTCAATGATAAAATTGCCTAGCAATACATTTCTAAGAATATGTCTCCATTATTAACTGACACATGACTGTATTTTGAATAACAGTTCTTTATCAGATATGTATTTTGCAAATATTTTTCCAGGTCTGTGACTTCTCTTCTCATTTCCATGACAATGTTCTTCACAGAGCCAAGTGTTTATTTGAGTGAAATCCAATTTACCAGTTTTTTTATAGGTTATATTTTTAGTGTTGTATCTGAAATGTCATTATCAAACCCAAAGTCACCTAGATTTTTCCCTATGTTATCTTCTGCATATTACAGTTTTTGTATTTTAAATTTATGTTTAATAACTGACCCACTTTGAGTTACTTTTGTGGAGCATAAAGTCTATGTCTAGATTCTTGTGGGCTTCTGAGTTCATTTGTTTGTGTGGTTAACATTTCCACTTTATATTTTCAATCTTTCTTCTAGCTTATTTAACTTATAAAAAGTTACAAAAACACATAAAAGTACTTGTCTGCTAATTCTAACATCTTTGTCAGTTCCACATCTGTTCTAATTGACTGATTTTTCTTCTTAGTATGGGATGATAGTTTCCTGGCTGCTCTACACATCTGGAAATTTTTACTGGGAGCTAGACATTTTGAATTTTCTTGGTTGGGTGTTGAATATTTTCATATTTCTATAAATATTGTGCTTTGTTCTGGCGTGGGATTACCTGCAAATGGTTTGAGCATTTCAGGTCTTGGCTTTAATTGGGATTTTCCAATTGAGACTAAAGTAGCCTTTAGTCCTTGACTATTTTTTTTTTTCAAATTATCAAGGCAAATCCTTCTCTGTGCTCTATTTAATTCTCCATGAATTAAGAGTTTCCCAGTCTGTCTGGTAGTTTTGACTGACCATATTTGAGCTTTGCACATTCTTTCACCAACCATGGCATGTCATTCCTTTCCTTGCCATATGCAGTTTCCTCACATGCATAACCTGATCAGCACACTGCTAAAGATGTAATGCAGAAGGGACCCCGTATAAATCTCTAGAACTCTCGGTGCAATTTAATTTCTTTTGAACTTTGCAGTAACAATTGAAGTTGCTTTGGTCTCTTCAGGCTTTGAGTTTGGTCTTCTCAACCTAAGGAGTTTGCCAGAATTCAGCTAGATTCTTCCTCTCTACTTTGCGGATTGGAAATTTATTCAAAAAATAAGCTGAGACAATCATAAAGCACAGCTTTTGATTTCTTTTCTCCCATGGATCACTGTTTTTTTGCTCCCTAACATACAAACCATTATCCCACACAACTTTTGTTTCTTCTTGTTGTTTTAGGCAAGAAAGTAAATCCAGTTTCTGGTAATCCCCTTTTCCCAGAAGGAGAAGTTGTACTTTTACTGCTTTTATGCTTTATATGATAGTATATTGACTGTTAAATTACTATGTTTAGAGATACTGCTATCTCCTTACTATTTACCACTTGAACCATTGAAGACAACTCTTAGAAAAAGCTGGAGAAATATATCTAGGTAAGTCACCTCATATGTAACTTTCTCACATTAGATATAGCACAATTTAAGGATTAATGAACTGAAAATGATTTTCAAAGAAAGCTTCTATTTATATTTAAATAGAAAAGATCTTTAAAAACATAAAAGACAAGCTTTTCTCTTTAGAAGGATATTAAACAGTTTACTGCCACTTTTAGTAGCAAAAACAGACATCTAAATACTATTCTTTTTTTGTGTTCAAAGTGCCTATTAAGAAAGCAATCATTTGGAAATGGGATAGCATCAAGCTGCCAGATATTTGTTCATGAAAAATACCCATAAAGGCCAAACTGTTTTTCAGACTCAAGAGAATGCTTGAATTCAGAATGATGAATAGGTTTTTTTAAAAAAATAAAGCAAACCAAAAAAGTAGTAGACCCAAAGAAAAGAAAGACTATGTTAAACCTAAATATTAAAACATCAGTAGATGCAAAAAGTTGAATATAACACAACGTAGCTTTTGGATACATACAAAGGAAAAGGAGATATCAATTTGAAAATTAAAGCCAATTTCCAAATGAGAGCAAATTTCAATTTAAGAAGACAGTCTTACAGATTTTAAGAGTTACTAGGCTAAAAAAAATGAGTCAACTACAAAAGAGGACTCTTCTGCAATTCGAAGCAGAGAATAGACTACTGCTGACATCAGAGTGGCAAATGTCTGTCAGGGACACTATTAACTTATTTAGAAAGGACAAGAAGTGCCCTAATGTGACCCTCTTAGAGAGATAAACTAGCCCAAAGTATACACCCCACCTACCAGTACTGCATTAGCCCTGGGAAAGCTCAAAGGGTTTAGAAATATTTGCTCAGATTAGTCTTTTCTTATCTTCTTTCAGTGCAGGTCTAAATCCAAGCTAAATGTGAAATGGAATCATCTTAGTCCATTTGAGCTCCTATAACAAAAATATCATAGACTCGGTGGCTTATAAACAACAGAAATTTACTTCTCACAGTTCTGGAAGTTGAGAAGTCTAAAATCAGGTGCCAGCAGATATGGTATCTTGTGAGAGCCCATTTCCTGGTACATAAACATCTATCTTCTTGCTGTCATTTCACATGATGAAAGGGCTAAGGACATCCTTTGAGGTCTCTTTTATAAGGGCACTAAGCCCTATCACAAGGTCTCCACCCTCATGATCTAATCACCTTTCAAAGGCCCTACCTCTTACTATCATCATATTGGGATTATGCTTTAACATATAAATTTGGGGGGAACTCAGTCATTCAGTCTGTAGCAGGGAAACCTTTCTTTGACATCATCCTTGACTTATCTCTGGATATTTCTCTTTTATTTTATGTTTGATTCCACGCTTCACTTGAAAGAAAGACTAAATTAATGGATAACCATGTATTTAATTTCATACATTTCTGTTCTTCTAAATAAACAGTAAAAATCATCTCCAAACAAGACTCTTGAGTAACTTTTTTTTTTTTCTGGAAAGTTCTACAGACTAGTGGATTTAAGCAAGAAAACTCAGTTATTATCAGTTCCCAACAGTAATTCTATGTGTGTACTACTATTTTCTGAAAATACAGCTCCAGAAAATAGGCGGATAGCAACATATCACTACAGGAAGCTAACATATTATGAGACCTATTCTCATTTTTAAAACTAATATCCCCTTTAAAAACAGCACATTGAGGCTATTCATCCTGTTTCATTTTCAATATGACTAAAAAACTTAAGTTATTATTATTATAGCTGGATGCAAAACACATTGGAAAGTACGCAATTAACAGTTAGCATTGATTTGTTATGAAGTACTAGTAGTGTGACATTAGAATGTAAGGTGAACAAACACATTGTTAGCAACACTCCTCATTTATACATATTTATATAATGTTGTTTGCTTGACTGTTTATGCAGCTCAAATTTCAGAAAGCGTTTTCCCATGAGTCAAATTTAAATTCTATAAGTTCTGGATGCTACTTTACATAGCATTCCTATATCAACTATATTTTACCTTTATGTGAATAATTAAATGTGATATTCCCCTCAATCAACCAGTCTCTCTCACTCTTTATTTCACATCTTTTCAAAGAGCGCTAACAGTAACTAATAGTTTTGTATTTTCCTTTTAGTCTGGAGAATTTGGTTATCACTTCTTCAAGAGAATCTTGCCTGACCTGCCTTTAAATCTCACACCAGTTTATCAAGGATTCCTCCTTCATGTGCTTCCATATCCTCTTGGACATGCATTAGTCATAAAACTCAATGCATTATATTGTGGCCACTTGTTCATACATATGTCTCTCCTACTAGAGTACAGACTCCTTGAGATCAAGGACTGTTATGCCTTTCTAATATATGCCTACTGAAGTATTCCCTCTTTCAATGCATAGCTTGAAAATTTTCAGATTATTGTTTTCAGTTAAGGTACAGTCATTCAAGGAATACATATTTTGAAAATAATATGTACACTGGATTTAAATAAATGTATGTGTATGTGTGTGCATACTGTGTGTGGGTGAGAGTATAATCATGAACCTCAAAAATGTAGCAAAAATGTTCTCAGGGTAATCTCACTTGACCCATGCAAAACCACAATTTAAGTTGTATAAAAAAATACAAATATGTAGAAAATCTTATAACACAGGACAGAAGATAAAGATGTATTCATGATCACAGAAATGTAAAGAAGGTTATTCACACTATGGTGCAAAATTGGCCACATTAATAAAAATACTAAAGTCCAGATCAAAACTTCATAAATACATGCAGTTTTGAGAGAAATGTGTAGAAGTGAGTCAAGACGCAGCAAATAAGCCTAATTCAGAGGGATTAAGGTGGGTACTAGATAAGGGGGATTCTGGATAGAAGAAACTGTGCTTAAATTCATTTTTATTTTGCAGATAAACAAGTGAAATCTGCTATCTCTGTTGAAAAATAGTGCCAGTAAAAAAGCCATAAATAAAAAACCACAGCTCAGCAGATTATATAACATGGCTGGAGGTGATGCCTCTTTGCTACATTTAGCTGGTGTGAAGGTAAGCAGAGAAGAAACCTGGGTATAAGAAACATAACTCAGGTATAGTGGGCAGAGTAAATACAGAAAGGAATCTTTAATGTCATGGTCCAGGCAACAAAAATGAAATACTATTTTTTAATGAAATACTGATACATCAAACCATGGATGATTATTTTTTTCAAAAGCACATGATAAACATAATAGGTATAAACAGAGGAATGAGTACTATATGATTCCATATGTGAAGTTCTACATCAGATAAAACTAATGATAGAAATAAGATTCAAGTGTGCCTGGGGAGGAAGGTATGGGGATTGACTTTAAAAAGAATTAAAGAGATTTTGAAAAAACAAAGTGAAAAGTTTTATATCTTAACTGCAGCATGGTTATATGGATATGAATATTTTTCTAAATGAATTGAACTATAAACTTAAAATGTATGGATTTTGCTATATGTAAATTATGGCTTAATAAAGTTGATTTGAAAATACCATTTGGAGTAACATCAAAAAATAAAATACTTAAGCACAAATTTGACAAAAGAGGTATTAGACCACTATAATGAAAAATAAAAATCTTGCTGAGAGAAATAAAGACTTAATTAATATATATCACATTTAAGGATTGACTTTTTGTATAAAATTTGACAGTCAATGCTTAACATTTTATGGAAATTTGAAGACAAAAATTTTAAAATATAAGAATAAAGTTGGAGAATTAACACTACTGATCTTAAAGCTTATGATAAGACCATCTTACTCAAGAGGATGCGATATTTCTGAAAGAATAGAAAAATCAACTAGTGGAAGAAAGTAGGAAATATAGAAAGTATACTGATTTTTGATGATGCTTCCAAGGCAATTCAACGGGGAAAAGAAAGTACTTTCAGCAAATGATGCTAGCAACTGTGTTAATACTAGAAACAATAAATAAACTCAATTTCTAACTCTAGACATACACATCAGTTAATAAAGATGAATTATAGACCTACACGTAAAAAGTAAAAATTAAAAAAAGAACATCTAGAGGACATGGGAAAAGATCTTCCTGTTTTGGGAATAGGCAAATTTTTTAGTAGATGAAAAGATTATAAATTATAAAAGAAAAATTTATAATGACTTTATTAAAATAAAAAAGCTGCTTTTCAACAAAAGACACAACAAAATGCAATAGCAAGGAAAACAGAGAGCGAACAGCTTTGTAGTACATATAACTTGCAAAAGATTGTATATAGATTTATTAAAAGCTCCTACAAATCAATAATAAAAACACAAATAAGCCAGGAAGAATGGGTAAAGTACTGGAACCAACACTTCATTTATAATAATTACAAACATATGAAAATATATTCATTTATAATGGGGAGAGTGGAAATTAAAAATTCAATGCAGTTAGGATGACTTAAATCGAAATGATCAACAATACCAAGTGTTGACAAGGATATAGAGAAACTAACATACATTGCTGGTCAATGGTAAAATGGTACGGCAACTTCGGAAAACACTTTGGCAATATTTTAGGAAGAAAAAGCATAAAATTACCATAGTACTAAACATTTGAATTCCTAGATATTTGTCCAAAAGAAATGTAAACTATTAAAAAATAACTTGTACAATAATATTTATAACAATTTTGCTTATAATAGCCAAAACACTTGAAGTAACCTAAATATCTATCAACAGAACATGAATTTTGAAAAACCCTGTGGTGCATTTATTACACTGATATAATGAAATGATACTCAGTAGTTAAAATATACTTAAGTACCCAAATGTGTGTATGTATATGCATATATATAAGTTTTTTTTTTTTTTTTTTGAGATGCAGTTTCACTCTTGTTGCCCAGGCTGGAGTCTAATGGCATAATCTCAGCTCACTGCAGTATCTGCCTCCCAGGTTCAAGAATTTCTTCTGCCTCAGCCTTCCAAGTAGCTGGGATTACAGGTGCCCAACCCCAGGCCCAGTTAAATTTTGGTATTTTTAGTGCAGATGGGGTTTCACCATGTTGGCCAGGCCAGTTTTGAACTCCTGGCCTCAGGTGATCTGCCCGCCTCAGCCTCCCAAAATGTTGGGATTACAGGCATGAGCCACCACTCCCGGTCATATATATAAGTTTTAAATGTGGCACCCCAAATGCCACTCATTTAAAGGAAGATTAATGGTCCCAACTTACCTCATAACATAGCTAACTAAGTAATAAAATATATGAAGTACATATGATAGTTACCCTTTAAACTTTGATTTCTGAAAATAGAGCATGTATAATAAAACAATGCATATATAGCATTCATGGAAACTCATCAAATCTGAGGACACAAGATAAAGCTCAATAAATTAAAATAACATAGTTAATCTGGCAGCATTGCTGACCACAGTGCCGTACCATTAGAAATTAATATCTTGTTTAAAAAGATTCTCTGATGAGAAATTAGGAAAATACTATTCAATATTACTTGGGTCAAAGGGGAAACATATGTAAGCTGAAGAATTTTTGAAACAGATTGATGCTGAAAACATGACATCAGAATCTATAAGTCTATGGAAAGAAAAGCCTATAGCATTACATGTTTATATCATTTAATTTTATAAAATTGAAAGAACACATAAACCTAGAGAATAGTACAAGCAAAAATGAAAGAATGAATAACAAACAAAATTTTATTTTAAAACATGAGTTATAAAACAGAAAAGATATAGAAAAGAAAGGAACCAGGAATAGGAATTATTCAAGATTAAAAAATAAAAAAAGACTCTAAAGCATGATGTTTGAACAACTAAACAAAATAAACTACCATGTAATATGCACACATACACACACAGACACATATATCATGAGACAAAGCAGCAAACTTCTGCCTTTGGCCAGCCACATAGTGAGAGTCCTTGTTATAAGGAATCCAGTTTTGGATTTTCAACTATTTTCAACTATTTTCAACAAGAGGTTTTCAACTATTTTTCAACTATTTTCAACTTACGATGGATTTATTGGAATGTAACCCCAGAGTAAGTTAAGAAGGATCTGTATTTTTAAACTACTTTCTATTGATATATATTCAGAAGTGCAAAAGTTCTATGTGTACAACTTGATGACATGAACATATTTGACCATCACCTAGGTCAAGAAACAGTACTGGCACTCGTTCAATAGTCCTTTTTATGTCCCATTTTCAACACCCCTCCCCTACCACAACTTTCTAAAGGTAAGCACCATTCTAACACTATAGATCAATTTGCCTAATTTTAAAATGTTTATGTAAATAACATTATTTATACATTTGCACATGTGCTTTCTTTTACTCAAAATTTTAAAATGAAATGATTCACTCCATTACATGTAGCAGTAATTTAACTCATTTTACATTTAATACCACCATTTATTCATAATGCTACTGGTGGTAATATGGATTATTTACAATTTAAGGCTATTGTATATAATACAGCAATAAACATTCTTGTACTTGACACTGGACTCACAAAACAACCTAGGTGCTTACTCAGATTTCCTCAGCTATGTGGATTCCTTTTGAAATGTATTATCATTCTGGACCAAATGGTTATTGGGCCTGGGGTTTTTGGCTTCTCTAACTACTTTTTTTTTTTTTTTTTTTTTTTTGATGGAGTTTTGCTCTTGTTGCCCAGACTGGAGTGCAATGGTGTGATCTAGGCTTACTGCAACCTCCACCTCCCAGGTTCAAGTGATTCTCCCTTCTCAGCCTCCCAAGTAGCTGGGATTACAGGCATGTGCCACCACATGCAGCTAGTTTTGTATTTTTAGTAGAGTTGGGGTTTCACCGTGCTGGCCAGGCTGGTTTCGAACTTCTGACCTCAGGTTATCCACCCACCTCGGCCTCCCAAAGTGCTGGGATTACAGGCGTGAGCCACCATGCCTGGCCTCTAACTACTCTACTCTTAAATGAAACACCAAATCACAGAGTTTGGGATCTGGCATCCTGAATAGGCACCAGATAAAATCAGAAGACAAAACAGGAGAGCCAAGAATGAGTTACCTCTGGCCACAGGCCAGGAATTGACCAATGGAAAAACAAGAGGTTGGAGAATTCATCTTCCTTCCTCCACATCCTGGACTACCCTGAGACAAATTTTCTTTTTGCATTTCCACTTCAATATTCCTATCTGGCAACTGGAAGCAGTTAACCATAAAATTCTTCACTAACCAGCATGAGAAGGTAACTTACAAGGTAAATCATCATCTTACAATGTTTTACATTATCCTTGCTTTATTTTTCTTTTTCTTCACCCTTGCATTTTGGCATCTGCATCTCTCAAAGTAACACACTTTCATCATTGTTTCATATTTCTATGGACCATAAGACAAGTAATCAACATATTTTAGTGCATATATGTAATATATGCAGTTCTGTTGGATATATATCTAGGAGTGGAAGTGCTGGTTCACAGTACACATGCATGTTAAGCTTTAGAAAATAATGTCAAATTGCATTCCAAAGCAGTGGTGCTATGTTGCAAAAGGTATTCCCAGCAGTAGTCATTGAAGGTTATGCAAATATATTTGAACCATATTTAGAATACATGTTTTTCTAGAAAAATTATAGTTTATCAGAAATGATCTGATATGGATTGGCTGTGTCCCCACCCAAATCTTTTTTTTTTTTTTTTTTTTTTTTGAGACAGAGTCTCACTGTCATCCAGGCTGGAGTGCAGTGGCATGATCTCGGTTCACTGCAACCTTCCGACTCCCGGGTTCAAGCGATTCTCTGCCTCAGCCTCCTGAGTAGGATTACAGGTGCCCGCCACTATGCCCAGCTAATTTTTGTATTTTTAGTAGAGACGGGGTTTCACCATCTTGGCCAGGCTAGTCTTGAACTCCTGACCTCAGGTGATCCACCGCCTCAACCTCCCAAAGTACTGGGATTACAGGCGTGAGCCACTGTGCCCAGCCAAATCTTTTCTTGAATTGTAGTTCCCATAATCTCCACCCGTCCTGGGAGGGATCTGGTGGGAGATAATTGAATCATGGGAGTGGTTATCCGCCATACTGCTGTTCTCCTGATAGTGAGTTCTTACGAGATCTGATAGCTTTATAAGGGGTTTTTCCCCCTGTCACTTGGCACTTCTCCTTGCTGTCCTCATGTGCAGAAGGACGTGTTTGTTTCTTCTTTTGCCATGATTGTAAGTTTCCTGAGGCCTCCCCAGCCATGTTGAACTTGAGTCAATTAAACATCTTTCCTTTATAAATAATCCAGTCTCAAGTTTGTCTTTATTAGCAGCGTGAGTACAGACTAATACATGATCTCAATAGAGACAGAAAGTTTAAATACACTAAATTATAAATAGAAATTTTTTAAAAATTGAGTTTAGAAAAGGAAAAACATGAAAACAATATGGTTGCAGAGGGGATTTCTAAAAACCTGTCAAAGATCAGAAAATGTCAGTGCTAGCCAAGATATTGCAGATAATTGAAAAAAAAGCTTTCAAGTTATTTTGTGATATGATTTCACAATCATAAAAACACACTCGCGTCAGTGTCACTTATGAATGTTGATGTAAAAATCTCAGGTAAAATTGTGGTAAGAAGGATCCAGTAGCATGAACATGTGGAATTTACTCCAGAAATGCATCAATGTTAAAAAATTGATTAATAAAATTTATTATCATGGTTAGATATTTTCTAAAATACTGTTGTAATTCCCTTGTTGCTTCTTTTACTATAGGTGGAGAGTAAAAAAATTAGTGGTTTCCTTGCGGATTGCAATTAATATCTTAATTTAACATAATCTAGTTCAGATTAATACCAAATTAAATTTTATACAGAATTATTTCTGTATAAATTCTTTCCATCCCCCACCCTTGGTGCTATTATACAATTTGCATTCTAATGCATTGTGTACCTATTCACACAGATTTATAACTATTGCTTTATGCAACTGTCTTTTAATTCGAATAGGATAAAAATAATTGAAAACTTTTTATATTACAACCTATATATATACATATACATGTATATATTTAACATTTTAAGTTCAAGGATACATGTACAAAATGTACAGTCATGTTATATAGGTAAATGTGTATCTTGAGGGTTTGTTGTACAGATTATTTGATCACCTAAGCATTAAGTCTAGTATCCATTAGTTTTTTTTTTCCTGACCCTCTCCCTCCTCCCATTCTCTGACAGGCCCCAGTGTGTGTTGTTCCCCTCTATGTGTCCATGTGTTCTCATCATATAACTCTCACTTATAGGTGAGAACACGCAGTATTTGTTTTTCTGTTCTTGCATTAGCTTGCTGAGGATAATGGCCTCCATTATTCCTAATCCCCCATGTCGTTGTAAAAGACGTGATCTCATTCTTTTTTATGCCTGCATAGTATTACACAAAATATATTTTTTATTTCAAACTAATTAAAAACAAAAATATATATTTATTTTTATATTTATTTAGTTACCTTCCTCAGTGCCCTTTATTTCTGCATTTAAATTCTAGTTACTTGCCAGCATCCTTTCATTTCAGTCTGAAGAGCTTTCTTTAGTGTTTCTTGTATGACAAGTTCAGTAGTAATGAATTCTTTGTTTCCTCCTTCATTTTTAAAGGATAGTTTTGCTGGATTTAAATTTTTTAATTAAAAGTCTTTTTAAAAATTTCCTCTGTCTTCTATGCTTTCTGATGAGAAATCAGCTGATAATATTATTCAGAATCCCTTGTTTGTGATAAGCCACTTCTATCTTGCTGCTTTCAAGACTATCTGTGTCTTTGGCTTTAGAGAGTTTTATTATAATGTACCTTGGCATAGATATCTACAAATTATAGTACTTGGGTTTATTGAGCCTCTGGGATGTGTAGACTAGTGGTTTTTGTTTTGTTTTATCAAAATTGTGAAGTTTTCAGCCATTATTTCTTTGCATATTCTTTCTGCTTCTTTATCTTCTGTCCTTCTGAACTACCAATATCCATATATTGGTATGCTTGATAATATCCCACAGGTTTCAGAGACTTCTTGATTTTCTTCATTCTTTCCTGATTTTTTTCTTGATTTCTTGATTTTCTTCTTTCTGTTTCTTAGGCTGGATAATCTCAACTGACATATTGTTAAGTTCTCCAGCTTTCTAAAATTTGCCATTGAAACCCTCTAATGAATTTTTCCATTTCATTATTGTAATTTTCAATGTCCAAATTTCTGTTTGCTTCTTTTAAAAAGTTCTGTGTTTTTATTGACATTCTCTATTTGGTGAGATATTATTCTTATACTTTCCTTTCGTTCTTTATATATGAATTGCTTTCATTATATGGATATATTTAAAGTCGCAGATTGAAAATCTTTGCCTAGTAGTTCTAATGGCTGAGACTCTTTAGGAGCAGTTTTTCAGTTTTTCCCCATGTAGGAAACACACTTATAGTTTTTTTTTTTTTACATGTTTTATAGTTTTTGTTGAAAACCAGATATTTAAAATAGTATATTTTGGTAATTATTGAATATCGGATTCCCTACAACCCTCAGGGTTTTTGGTTTATGTTTTCTTTGTTATTGTTACTGTTTACTTTATGACTTTTCTAACCTAAATCTGTGAAGTCAGTGTTCTTTAATTATGTGGCCACTGAAATCTCTTCTTGGTTAGCTTATTAATAATCTACTCCTTATACAGAGATTTATTTAAAAGCCTATGTACAAAAATAGATCTCCTAGTCTTTGTTGCAGAGCACTGAGTGCATTCTGGAGTACATCTTTAACACTGTGTTAAGTTACACGGTTGAAAACTTTTTTAGGTTTCACTTTCTGCATGAAGAAAGCCTCAAGTTCAGCCAGAGATACAGACTTAGGGTTTTCTCACATTTTTCTGTGTCTGTCTAGATTCCCAGGAGTATGTCAACATTTTCAAAGCCTCCATAAAAATCTCATTCCTCAGTTTTCATTTTAAGCTCTTTGTGTTGCTTTTTGTTTGCCCCAACTCTTATCTGCCACTTCAGGCAGTCACAGAGTGAAAAAATTGGCTCCAGTTGTTTTTGACAAGATCCCCAAGGGCAAAAGGGGCTTAAGACAGCTCTGCAAATGGAGTCTTTCAGGGAACTACCTGATAGGTCAAATAATTATATTTTGGGGGAATGAGATCTCGAAGGCACTCCAATCCCTTTCTGCTGTCTCCATTGGATACCAGGCTTCTAGTTTTCTCTGTGATTGCAAGATGTTTATTTTCAAGGCTACTTAAGAGCTAACAGAGGGATAGGAATAGTCCAGGTTAAAAGCCACAAATTTCACTGTTGTTACTGAGATTCAGCCAATATTCTTGAATAGAGTGCTATAATCCTCTATTAATATCTAAAGTTTTTTAGAAAAGTTAATTTTGAAAATTTTTGTTAGTTTTCTCATTGCTTCTATGGTGAAGAGAATTGTTAGAAGTCTTTACTCCTCCATTTTTGCCAATGTCCTTACCATCTGTATTGGTTTGGTAAACTGCCATGACAAAGTACTACTAATTGAGTGGCTTAAACAATGGAAATCTACTGTCTCGCAGGTCTGAAGTCTATGAGTTTAAAATCAAAATGTCAGTAGGATTGGTTCCTTCTGAGGGCTGTGAGGACAGAATCTGTTTCAGATCTTTCTCCTCGGCTTATAGATGGATATCTTCATATTTTTGTGGCACTTTTCCTGCATGCGTGCCTGTTACCAAACATCCCCATTTTATAATGACACCAGTCATATTGGTTTAGGGCCCACTCTAATGATTACCTCTGTAAAAGCCCTATCTCCAAATAATGTCATATTTTGAGATATTAGGGGTTAGAACTTCAATATATAAATTCAAGGGGAACACAATTCAATCTATAGCACCATCTTAATTAATCTATGTAGAGAAGTCATGTCATTAACTTCATTGATGCAAAAGGATTATGTTATAGGACTCAAAACATATTCATGTTGTAAGTAGTCAATAAATTAGAATTTGATAAGTGTTTCCTAAGCATGATATCATCATGTACACATATGTGTATGTATGTATTCCTCATCCCCTATAAATTTGCACCTTACTTAATAGGGATACACTAGAGGCTTTCCTGCTATTGTCAGAAAAAAAAAAACAAGAATGATTATCATCACTATTGCTATTTTATATAAGGCTAAAAGGCTTAGCCAATGAAATTGGACAACAGAAAGGATTAGATGCATTACAGTTGTTAAGAGAGAGGCATGATTATGAGTTATTATTATATGTTTGGATAACTACCAAGAATCAATGTAAAAAAATCTCTGTAAACAACATGAGAATCTAGTAGATCTGTAACCAATATAAAAAAGTCTATGATCTCAATGGTACCACTTTCAAGTATGACAGAGTAGTTTGCAAAAAATCAATGCTGCTGCCAAAACAAGTTTTTAAAAAAATCCAGATCAAAATAGAAGTAGACAATCCAGATAAAAATGCATTTGTTTGAAGGCATTATGGAGCTGCTGAGAAAATCAATAATAAGGATTCATAATCCTTAAGAATTTAGCCAATGTTTTGGGAATAAAATTAACAGATTGATGTACTCATTTCTCTGTTACAGTCTTCTCATCAGAATCCTAATCCCTGAAGTTTATCATTTTGGTCTCTTGAGCTCTATGGGGCTGTCAAATGTCTGCTTCTTTCTCTGAATCTTTGTACTTGCCCTCTACATGGTCATTAACTGATTGATCTGTGTCTTGCACCATTATCATAACTGCCAAATTCCCCACAAAAAAGTAGCTGCATAATTTTATTTCTCTGTTCCTTTATTACTTTGAAATTTATAAGGAGCATAATTTAAACCTAAAATTTCATATTCAGGCAAACTTTCCATCAAGCATTAAGATAAAGATAATTTTCAGGCACACAAGTACTTGAAAGTGTACTTCCTATTTAACCTTTATTAATAATTTATATGGGGAAACCCCTGATTTAGATTTGTAATCAGATAATTAATGGATTCAACCTAGGTGAATGTCAAAGGAAAGTCCCAGGACAGTAGCCATGTAAAAGGAACAAAAAATTACACTTATTTTACTTTGGAAAAGAAAGTAAGAAAAATCCAAAAGAAAAGTTTTCTAGGAAATAAAGGCTTTTCTGTGGAATGGCAAATACAAGGGAGAGACTGAGAAAACTTATACATTTTATAAAGAAGGAAAATATTTTTTAAAAAAGAAAAAACATAGGCATCTCCAGAAGAAACAAAAAGTTGTAGAAGAGAACATAGTACATACAAAGCCAACTGTTCAAATTAAAATGAAAATCTGTATGTTCAATAAGACAACAAATTAGTTTCCAGTTATTGAAAAAAACACTCAGAATATTGGGAAGTAGGCTTGCCTTTATTCACCTAACAAGAAAAAAGAAAGGCAATCAGAAACTCCACAGTAAAACACTGATATCATCTCATACATTGTTAGCATAAAGAGATAATAAAGTGAGTTTAGCTTTCTGTAACTCTCATTTCCTTCCTCACCTGCCCTTTTGCCTTCTGCCACGGGATGATGCCACAAAAAGGCTCTCACCAGATGCCAGCCCCTTGATATTGAACTTCCCAGCCTCCAGAACTGTGTGAGAAATAAATTTCTTTTCTTCATAAGTTACCCTGTATGTGGTATTTTCTTACAGTAACACAAAATGAACTAAGATAAAGGCTAAAAATTTTCTAGGAAAATATTTTTAAAAATCACCCCAGAGACACTGGAAAAAAACCAGCAGTATTCTTCAAATTAGCAACAATGGACATTAGAAGACAATGGTCCAATATTACTAAAAGGCTGAAACAAAATGCTTTTAAACAGGGATTGCTATTAATGGACAAACATTCAATTGGGGCAATATTAGAAAGTGTACCAAATACAGACCCTTCTCCAAATGATTTATTATGAATATAACCAGACCATAGTTTATATTTATCAATATGATTTTTTTCCTAAGTCCAGTTAGTGTATCATATGGGAATGGTACAGCACTATGTCAAAATCGCATGACAGCATGTCATTGTTGAGATTAAAGAGAAATATCACAAGACTACCAGGAAGGAACCAAAGTCCCCCATCAGCCTTTTCTCAAAATAATGGCTACTGTGCAAGGCATATAAAAACTTCTTCAGTCTAAATTTTTATGTTCTTAACATGGAACTGTACTATATTTGAGATTGGGAGGTATTTTAGAATGTTAGAACTGGAAGGTATAACTGTTTCAGATTTTCAGATGAAGCAATAAAAAACTGAAAAGCTGCAGTTTTAACTAAATAGAGTTCATCACAGTTAGAAACCAACTTTAAGGATTTATCATTTATTTTTTTCTGGCTCTATTTGACTTAGCATGAATACTTCCAACAACAGTTTGTTAAAGAGTTCCAGTGCTTAAATTTTACTAGTTTATATTAAATGAAAACATGCATTCTCATCTCTTCTACCTAGTTCTCCTGATTCGGCCTTCTGGAGTACTATCTGGCATTTCATCACTATTGCTATTTTATATAAGGCTAAGAGGTTTAGCCAATGAAATTGGACAACAGATTCCCTATTTAATAAACGGTGCTGGGAAAACTGGCTAGCCATATGTAGAAAGCTGAGACTGGATCCCTTCCTTACACCTTATACAAAAATTAATTCAAGATGGATTAAAGACTTAAATGTTAGACCTAAAACCATAAAAACCCTAGAAGAAAACCTAGGCATTACCATTCAGGACACAGGCATGGGCAAGGACTTCATGTCTAAAACGCCAAAAGCAATGGCAACAAAAGACAAAATTGACAAATGGGATCTAATTAAACTAAAGAGCTTCTGCACAGCAAAAGAAACTACCATCAGAGTAAACAGGCAACCTACAAAATGGGAGAAAATTTTCGCAACCTACTCATCTGACAAAGGGCTAATATCCAGAATCTACAATGAACTCCAACAAATTTACAAGAAAAAAACAAACAACCCCATCAAAAAGTGGGCAAAGGATATGAACAGACACTTCTCAAAAGAAGACATTTATGCAGCCAAAAAAACACATGAAAAAATGCTCACCATCACTGGCCATCAGAGAAATGCAAATCAAAACCACAATGAGATACCATCTCACACCAGTTAGAATGGCAATCATTAAAAAGTCAGGAAACAACAGGTGCTGGAGAGGATGTGGAGAAATAGGAACACTTTTACACTGTTGGTGGGACTGGAAACTAGTTCAACCAATGTGGAAGTCAGTGTGGTGATTCCTCAGGGATCTAGAACTAGAAATACCATTTGACCCAGCCATCCCATTACTGGGTATATACCCAAAGGACTATAAATCATGCTGCTATAAAGACACATGTACACGTATGTTTATTGTGGCACTATTCACAATAGCAAAGACTTGGAACCAACCCAAATGTCCAACAATGATAGACTGGATTAAGAAAATGTGGCACATATACACCATGGAATACTATGCAGCCATTAAAAATGATGAGTTCATGTCCTTTGTAGGGACATGGATGAAATTGGAAATCATCATTCTCAGTAAACTATTGCAAAAACAACCAAACACCGCATATTCTCACTCATAGGTGGGAATTGAACAATGAGAACACATGGACACAGGAAGGGGAACATCACACTCTGGGGACTGTTGTGGGGTAGGGGGAGGCGGGAGGGATAGCATTAGGAGATATACCTAATGCTAAATGACGAGTTAATGGGTGCAGCACACCAGCATGGCACCCATATACATATGTAACTAACCTGCACATTGTGCACATGTGTCCTAAAACTTAAAGTATAATAATAATAATAATAATAATAATAATAAAAAGAAAACCCTCTCACCATCTTTGAATACGCAGATATGTCTATGAAGGATAACTACTTAAGATTAGATTTATGAAAGGCACTTTTTACAATTTAGTTGGGTTCTTTTGAAACTGTAATGAAAGAAATTTCTTTGGAATTATGATTTCCATGGTAATGTGCTTTTAAAACTAAAGCACAAATGTTTGGCAATTAATTCAATACATTTTTTTCCATATATAGGCTCCTCCAGATCCATGTCACTGTTCCTATAAATAAAATCATAAAAGATTTTATATTACCATATAACAAACTTATATTTTATTGCTTAAGCGTTTTAGGAATTTATCTATAACTTCATTTTATAGTCACCAGGGATATAAGGTATACATAACATCAAAATATAAGCAATTTAGTATAAATATTTTGTAATATTTTATAGATTTCAATAACAGAATATGATAAATAATTGCTATTTGTCTGAGATATAGAAAATTATTATCAATTTATTTCCCTGTTTGAAAATATACAAAATGTGACAGTAAGTAGTCTCACTGTCCTTGCTTCAATAATAATGTTTCTGTAACTGAGTCTTTGAAAAGCTTAAAAATAGGCACATTTTATAATAGCAATGTTTTATGAAAAAATAATACTTATGATTACATATACTCTTTGTTCACAAAGTTCTTGCTTTGCTTGGTGATTCTGTTATGGCTACTCACATAGGATGTTTCCTGAGTGCTTTGATATGTTTTCTCATGTCATAAAAATAACAATAAAAATACATGTTGCCGTAACAGTGTTATGGCAAGACATTTTTGCAAAGCAGTGTGAACAATTTATAAATGCCATTATGTGATTAAGTAGTAAGGCACAACAGGTTATATTACATTGTGAAGTTCTATAATAGGTGCTAAAATTGCCTCTCAACATCATACCCGGGAGTATCTCTTTGAAATTTTTACATGATCATTTCACAGGTTTATAAAAAACAAATAAAGTCATTACAAAACGTTTTTCTTAGGTAAATTTGAATGCTTTCCATTACACAGTGTGCAGTCGTTAAAGCCTAATGCATTTTCCTGGGAAAATATTTCACAAGATTGTTTAGCTTTTTTTACTTGTAACTCAAAATTTGTTAAATTTGACTTTTTAAATTTGGTTTCTATCTTGGAAAATAATGGAGACAATTACCTTCTACTCAATTTCTAAGGTGATAGTTTATCAGTCATACTAACAAGTGCTTGTTTCTTCATATCATCATATTTGACTCAGTAACTTTTCTGTATTTCCTCAACCCTCAGATTGCTTTCAGTACTTTTTTGTGGAATTTTCCTTTCTGTCTCAGATGAGAGTGGGAATACCCTTACTACTGATTGTGAAAGTTTACCAAACAGAAGAGCAATCCAAAGATATAAATGGCAGATAGCAACCTACTCCCCTAAATTATATATAAGAACACCAGAATCAAATATTTTAACTTACACTTTGGTTATATATAGTGAATGACAGTATTATTGTGTTTATCTATGAAATAGTAGAGAAGCTATGTTCACCTTTTTAAAGTATTTTTATTTTTTTTCTAAATCACCCAAAAGTAAGAGCAACAAATACCTTTGATCTCTTAACCAAATTTCAAATGCCATCTCATAGTATTTGTCTCTGCAGAAACTGACCCTGGGAAATGTGTATTCAAGACAAATAGTTTATTAGGGACACTGGTAGGGAAGAGAGATCTGTGGTTCCAGAAACAAAGCACTGAGGAATAAAGCAGATGCTGGCAGTTTTAAGTTGTGTTAAACACAAGGCAAACTACATTATTTTCTATTACATACAATGTGGTAATCATATTTTCTACGGTTTCAACTAAGACACTAACAAATATTTATGAGTGGAGATTATAAAATGGAATTTAGCTTCCATGTAGAGTGAATAGATTTACTCATTAATCTTGTTTACTCTTGGGTAACACCTATGCATTCTTCAATTGATAGTTGAATGAACCTATACAAACTGTGGGTCATCTTCCACTCTATATGTTGAAGGTCCCTAAGTTCAGCCATATCTAGATGTCTCTCCTGAGTTTCAATCATTTGTCTTCTTTTGTAGATCTTCTTCTAAGTAATAATATTTTAAGAAAATGGCAGCTAACATTAAGTACATACTTTGTGCTAAACACTACTTATGCAATAAGCTTTGATATGTAATATGGCTCGGCTCTGTGTCTTCACCCAAATCTCACCTTGAATTGTCATCCCCATAATCCCCACGTGTCAAGGGAAGGACGAGGTAGAGGCAACTGCATCATGGGTGTGGCTCCCCCATGCTGTTCTCATGATAGTGAATGAGTCTTACGAGATCTGATGGTTTTATAAGTGTCTGGCATTTCCCCTGCTTGCACTCACTCCTTCTCCATCCTGCTGCCTTATAAAGAAGGTGCATGCTTCTCCTTTGCCTTCCATCATGATTGTGAGTTTCCTGAGGCCTTTCCAGCAATGTGGAACTGTGAGTCAATTAAAACGCTTTTCTTTGTAAATTACCCATTCTCAGGCAGTTCTCTATAGCAGCCTGAGAACGGACTAATACAATATGGATTATCTCAATTAATCCTCACAACAACCCAAGAAACAGATACTGTTACTGTTACTATTAATATTTAACAAATGAGGAACCAAGACTTGAGAGTTTAATTAGTTTGTTTGAAATTAGCTAATGTGTGGTGAAGTATGAATTTCAATCAGGGATTTTGATTCTAAAGTCCCGGTAACAATCAAAGTTCATCCAGGGATATACAGGAGATTACAAGGAATTGGCTTATGCAATTGTGGGGTTTATTTGGCAAGTATGAAATCTGCAGGGCAGGCTATCAGGAAGGACAGGCTGTAACTCTTGGGCATAAGTTGACTCTGATGTCCATAGTTGTACTTCATTTTCAGAAAAAGCTTTAGTTTTACTCTTAAGGCATTTCAACTGATTCAATCACTCCCACCTAGCTTGTGCTGGACAATCAGGACTTTAATCACCTCAACCAAATACCTTCCTAGAAACACCTAGATTAGTGTTGGATCAAATAACCGGAGAATGCAGCCTAACCAAACAGACATATAAAACTAAACAGTGTCTAATCATTAGAATAGATGCTTTACTTAAATGATCAACAATACTTCAAACTCAGCAACATCAAAACATTTCCTTAAAATAATGTTATTTTTCTGTATTTCTCATCTCAGCCCTGTCTAAAACCTCCCATGAGAAATAAATCCAAACATGTTGATTCCTTCTACAAAACCCCACATCATTTTTTAAATCATTTTGATATTTAGTACATAGCTAATAGCATAATATACGTGAAATATTCAACAATTGCCTGTTTGTGTGAATGTATCAATTTACCTTTACCCCACATGAATTTTTTTCTTAAAAAACTAAGATATGTTCGTTAATATATTTTTGCAATCCATATGTAAATAAATAGATGATGTATTATTTAAAATTCATTCATCATTATGAAGGCTGTATAAAAATAAAACGAAGTCCTAATTTCAATTTATGGGTATTTAAAATAATAAAATGCGAAACAAATGAACATATATCTACATACAATAAGTTCTTTCCAATTAGCCATTAAGTAAGTCTGTATTTACTCCATACTATTATTTAGTAATAAGGGCAAGATGATAGCTTTAAATAAATACATGTTGATAAAATTAATTCAATAATCTCAGGCCTTCTGTTGAAACATTTATTCATTTATCCATTCATTCATTAAAAACTCTTTAATAATGTATTGTTATTCAGGCACAAGAGGTGTAAAATTATATGATATAAATTTTGCCATGAAAAGGTCAAGATCTGTTTTATATTGTCTAACAAAGAAATCTAGTCCTATGATTTCATGGTATTTCTTAAGCTCGCATATTTATAGAAAAAATATGGCAAGTTAAAAAATAATTTAAAATGGTTGGTAGAAATGTGTTTATATTGTGATTTAGACAGAAGGATGATTTTGGTCAAACTAAACAGCCATGGGATAAACATTCATATTTTATGAAAAATAACTAAAAAGTTGAAAGTGTGCATGTTATATGACACCATTATAATTTCACATGTACACCTATGCTTTCCCAATTCACACAATTCCAGAACATTTGAAACTACAAAGCAGTTTGTCAGTTTATATTTAAAGCAAAAATTCTACAAAATAATGCTGAGGATAGTGAAAGTATTCCTTTATGGATAATGAATCGTCTGGAGAATTTTGATTAAGTAATTCAAAGCAATCAAATTGTTAATGTCTGTAAATTGTGTATTTTCAGAAAAATTTATCTTACTTTGTTGGGTAAAACTGTAAACCAAAGAATAGACTGATAGTGTGACAGGATGAATAAAGAGCTGGTTCTGTGCAGTACTTTTTTCCAGTCTGACATGTTAAATGAAGAACAACTAAAATCTCAAAAAGAAAGAGGCAAAACAGCATGATACTGGTATAAAAATAAATGCATAGATCAATGGAATAGAATAGGGACCCCAGAAGTAAAGCCACATACCTGCAGCCAACTCATCTTTGACAAAGTCAACCAAAACCTACACTGAGGAAAGGACACCTTATTCAATAAATGGTACTGGGAAAATTAGATTGCCACATGCAGAACAATAATACTGGACCTTTATCTGTCACCATATAGAAAAACTACCTCAAGATGGATTAAATATCTAAACATAAAACCTGAAGCTATAAAAATACTAGAATAAAACCTAAGAAAAACTTTTCTGCACATTGGCCTAGGCGAAGAGATCACGACTACTAAGACCTCAAAAGCAAATGTAACTAAAACAAAAATACACAAACAGGGCTTGATTAAACTAAAAAGCTTCTGCACAGCAAAAGAAATAACAGAGTGAACAAACAACCTGCAGAATGGGAGAAAATATTTGAAAACTATGCATCTGACAAGGGACTAATATCCAGGATCTATAAAGAAGTAAAACGACTCAACAACAAGAACAAAAAAAACAACAAATAACTCCACTAAAAGTAGTCAAAGGACATGAACAAATATTTTTCAGAATAAGACACAAAATGGCCAACAAGCATATTAAAAAGTGCTCAATATCAATAATGCCAGAGAAATCCAAATTAAAACCATAACAAGATACCATTGCACACCAGTCAGAATGGCTATTTTTAAAAAATCAAAAAACAACAGATGTTGTCAAGAATGTGCAGAAAAGGGAACATTTGTCCACTTGGTAGGAACATAAATTAGTACAACCTCTATAGAAAACAGTACAGAGATTTCTCAAAGAACAAAAATAGAACTACTTTCAATCCAGCAATCCCCCTACTGGGTATCTATCTAAAGGAAAATAAATCATTGTGTATAAAAGATCCCTGCACTGTAGGTTTATCACAGAACTACTCATAATAGCAAAGATATGGGCTCAACCTAAGTGTCCATCAATGGAGGATTGGATAAAGAAAATGTGATATATATACATATATACATATATATATACACACATATATATAAATAACATTTTTAAATCCGGGTATACACACACACACATGAGATATATGTATATATATACACACACATATATATGTGACATATATATATATACACACACACATATATATGTGATATATATAGATATATATATACACACACACATATATATGTGATATATATAGATATATATATACACACACACATATATATGTGTGTTATATATGGGATCTCTATATCCATGTGTACACATTATGTAATGGCCCACGTGTGAGAACATGCAGTATTTGATTTTCTGTTTCAGAGTTATTTCACTTAAGATATTGGCCTCCAGTTTCATCTATATTGCTGCAAAAGACACGATTGCTTTTTCATGGCTGAGTATGTATGAGTGGTATGCACACACACACATACATGCACACACATACATCACATATGTCTAAATCTGTACAATTTTTTTTAAAGGAAGAGTAGAGATTTATGGTACTCAAAATTATACTTACTGTTTTGCTATTTAGAATTGATGAAGAGACAGTAGTTGAAATTGCTGTTTTTACTCAGAGGAAAATGTGATTCTCCCATATTTCATTTCCAGAACAGGAAGAAAAACCTTTAAAAATTAGTAATCAGGCCGGGCACGGTGGCTCACACCTGTAATCCCAGCACTTTGGGAGGCCGGGGCAGGCGGATCACGAGGTCAGGAGATCCAGACCATCCTGGCTAACACGGTGAAACCCCATCTCTACTAAAAACACAAAAACAAAATTAGCCGGATGTGGTGGTGGGCGCCTGTAGTCCCAGCTACTCGGGAGGCTGAGGCAGGAGAATGGCATGAACCCGGGAGGCAGAGCTTGCAGTGAGCTGAGATCGCGCCTCTGCACTCCAGCCTGGGCGACAGAGCGAGACTCCCTCTCAAAAAAAAAAAAAAATTAGTAAACAAAAGAAGTTACTGGAGTAAAGATTGCCTATCAATAAGATCTATAATCCAGTGTATATTTTTCTTTCAGATATTTTAATAGCATTAAAAACAAAACATAGATTTGCACCCCAAAATCAATTTTATTTTATTCATTCAATTAAAAAATGTTATGTATTATAAGGACACAATAGGTGATATTTTCCTTTTATGTGAATCTTTGTTTGATTTACCTCCCCATCTTTTTAATCTTGGTTAAGGAAGGAGTATCAAGTTCAATTTACCATGCCACAGTCCCAGGGCATAGCCTCCCAATAGCAATACCACCATTGACTTTGCCCAAATTATACCACCATCCACCACTTTCTCACTGCTCACTGCTTACAGCTCTTGAGTTCCAGTTTTAGTTACATTGTGGGGGAAAGGAGGCTGGAGTAGTCTTTTATTTTCTGAAAGTTTAGGAAAAAAATAAAAAATATGTATTTTTCCTAAGATCTAGTTGTTTTCTAGTGAGAAGACTGTTTAGAAAATAAAGCTGCCATACAGTGGATGTGGAACCTATATTCAGATACTGAACTCTGTAAATGTATTACCTATATAAAAAGTAAATTAATGAGAAATTATTAGAATGACATAAGACAAATCAAACATGAATATTCAGTATGACAGATATGAAAAACGACTACAAGGCTAGTTGCTTGGAAGACTGAACATATTTCTTTGGCACTAAAAAATAGAGGAGGGGCCGGGTGCAGTGGCTCATGCCTGTAATCCCAGCACTTTGGGAAGCTGAGGAGGGTGGATCACCTGAGGTCAGGAGTTCAAGACCAGCCTGACCAACAAGTTGAAACCCCACCTCTACTAAAAATACAAAAATTAGCCGGACGTGGTGACGGGCGCCTGTAGTACCAGCTACTCAGGAGGCTGAGACAGGAGAATTGCTTGAACCCAGGAGGCGGAGGTTGCAGTGAGCCGAGATTGTGCCACTGCACTCTAGCCTGGGCAACGGAGTGAGACTCCATCTCAAGAAAAAAAAAATACAGAAGAGGACTGATATATAAAAATTAATACTTTTAACACCAGGGCCACGGAATCAGAAGTACAGTAGAAATAAGGAAATGAACTTTGGTTGATGATCGACTTTGTAATATATAAAACTTAGAGTTTTCTGATTTTAAAAGTTACAGTATGCTTCACCTTGTTCTGAATGACATTATTTTCAACATTCTAAAAATTACTTTTACTGTCTTATTTTTTAATGTAAAGTAGGCTTTTCATTTTATGTATTACATTTTTAGTTATTTTGCTTCCACTTGTCAAAAATTCTTCATGTGATTGATTAAATACAAATTTGAATTTGATAGTTTCAAATTTGAATTTGAATTTGATTTTTTTAAAGTAAAACAAAACATTGTAGACCAAGTAAAATATTCAGAAGGGCCTGCCACTCTGTCTGTTGTTATTTAAAGGAATATTTGAAAAATTCTACTCTCATGCAATTAATTACCAACAAAACAAATGCTTTTGTATTTTGTTTCCTTAGAATAGAACCAATTTGTAATGTTTCTATAATTATTATGAAGTTTAAGCTCTATGATAGCAATCAAAGTCTAGGCATGTGTGTGGAGCATAGCACTTTTTGCCATAAACAGACATTCTCTTTTGGACCCACATTGAAGTTTAGAACTAGAATGCTGAAGCTAAAAATATTAGTCATTTGGATTGGTTATATCCAAAGCTGAACTCATTATCTTCCTATTCAAACATGTTCTTTTTGTGTCCATCTCAGGTGATGTCACTATAATTCTCTTAGTTGCTTAAACCAGCAAAGTGTGGACATTCACAGAAAAAAAAGTTTTCTGACCCGTGGCTTACAATAATCTTTGACTTCTCTTTCACCTCTTATGTTTAATTAATCACCAACTTCTACTCAAAACTTTTTATATAACTCACTCATCCTAACAAATCTGTTTTCCTTTATCCTCACAGCCACAGTTCACTTCTTAACAATCCCTCCCTTTGATTGCTGTAAACTTTTCTTTTTGGTGGTTGTTTCCACCCGCTCCCTTCCATTCTAAACTCGAGCTGCTGAGCTGTTTCTAAATGATGCAGATAAGATTTTGAGTATCTAGAATCCTTCATTGCCTTTCCACTGCTAAATAATTTTATTTTCCATTGTTACATTATCTGACCCAAAGTATGACACCTAAGACTTTTCATAGTCTGGTTTCTGACAGTCTCTTCAGCTTCCTTTCTCACTTATCTTTGCCTAACCTCTGTCATGTTAACCCTTACAGAACTATCCTAAGTCTAACAAATGTTCTGTGACATATACATTTTTTTGACTTGCAAATGATACTATCTTTGCCTGAAATCCAGTGAAGACATACAGAGAATGGTAACAACATAAACTGAGAGAGGAAAACAAAGCTAAAAAGAGAAATAAAAGATGCATCTAATCTCCTGGGAAACTAAACTAGGAAAATAATACAGCTATATCAATCCCAAAAATCAGAGAATAGGAGAGAAGATGACACCAAGCGAAACATGAACTCAATAATTCTGTGAAGAAACAGAAATGTAGAAACCATATTTTAGAAAACATAAGAGTGCAGATGCTGTTCTTGCTTAAAAAATGAACAATGAAGTTTAAAACGTTAAGGGGCTTACCAAAACAATCTTAAATATTTAAAGACTTATGTCTCTGGAAGTAGAATTGAGAGCTGGAAAGAATTTAGGCATAGGACTGCTGGAATTTTATTTGTTGTTGTGATTGTTATACATTTTCTAGTACCATTTAAATTGTTATACATCACATATATTTAAGCTAAAAATAAAGAGAGGATAAGAGGCTTCTATTCCTGGTAAGTTTTAAGGTTAAAGTACCAACAAGAATCTGTATATTATTGCTAATGAAAACAAATGAAAGTTCTGGAATATTCAACAGTATAAAACACCAAAAACTAATGACATATGGAGTTTACACAGGAAAAAAATAGCTAAAGTTAAAATTTATGACAGCAATAACATAGAAATTGGCAAGCGGTGAAGGGAGATAAAGTGTGCTAAGGTATATGGTAATCACTAAGAAATTCAAGAAGAATGTATGCATTTCAAAATAATAGAACAAATTTCAAAAACAAAAAGACAACATACACATGGAATCAAAAGCAATCAAGAAATTAGGAAAAAAGAAACATCAATCAAGACAAATAGTAATGAATATAATGATATAACAATAAAAATAACTGTAGTCTATCATATATAAAATTAATCATTGTCAGACTGGACTTTGAAAAAAGTGACAACTATGTGTAAAAATGTACCTGTCAAACCATATATGAAGAAAAGTTGAACATATTTGTACAAATTTTATACCTAGGAAACTAAGTCTAACCACCAAATAAAATAGACATTGTTTAAAAATGGAGTTTAAAGGGGTTACTTTGTAACTATAAAAGTTCAATTATCTAGGAAATTAGTATAACTTTAAGTTACTACATACATAATAATGTAGAGTATATGTGAAAGTGGTATACACACATATATGTATAGATGTAATAATAGTGCGAGTATCATGATAGAAGGGTGTATTATTGGATGAGACTAATACATACCACTTTAAGTTAAAAAATTTTTAGAATGAAATATAGGTTTTTTAGTAACATAATTAGCAAAGAACCTAAGGAACATATATTAAAAAATACAACTGCAGAATTCAAGTATTATAAGCAAATTCAAATTATTACATGAAATAAATAAATTAAATACCATTGAGGAAACTTCTAGGAACCGTGAAAATTTAAATCTTGTAATGCTATTTCATCATAATGTAATAATTTTATAAATAAAAATAAATTTAAATAATATCTGTTTTGGAAATTAGGAAATTCATTTTAATATTCATACCCATTTTTAGAAAACATAAGGGAAATTTGGAAATATTTAAAACTCAAAAGTAATAAAATACTATATGTGGTTTTGAGATGAAGTTATATGAGGCTTACAGTATAGACTGAATAATTATATTAGAGAAGAAAACCATTAGAAATTGATGGACTAATTAACCATCTGAAGAAATTTAAAAATTAATAATAGACCTAAAGGAATATCGAAGGATAGAAAAAGAAATGTAAGAACATAAGTGAATGAAATACAAGACAATATAATAGGAAATACAATACAGAGGATCAACAACTTCAAAATTGTGACTCTAATAGGAATCTGGAACAACTTAATCTCAAACCCTTCAATTTTTTTCTATTGGGAATTATGGAGATAGAGGATAATGAAAATCAGACATTAAGGCTTTATACCCTGAAAAATGAAACAGCCTTTATTAGCAACTGACATGATAGTTTAATTATGTAGAAAATTCTAAGGAATCTAAACCCTCTCCCCCAAATCTCCTAAAACAAATAAATTACATAGAAACAAATCTGATCATATATGGATGATATATTGGGTCATCTATTATAGAAAATAATAAGAATAATTCCAATGTCTTTTTTGTGTACTATTCTTGACATCTTCAAAATAAACTGCTGATTACATTTTGGAGTTTGGGTCAGTCTGGACTTGGTTCAAAAGTCAGAGGCCACTGATCCATTGATTCAAACAAGAAAGAGAACATGAAATACTCACATGATGAGCATGACATTGATATGGCACTGTAACAATTGAATAGAAAATCTATTTCTCTAAAAGGGACAAGAAATGGTTTAGCTAGGGAGATAAACTGTGAATTAACTGTAAAATGCTGTAAAATCATATACCATGGAGTGGAAATATGTTTTAATTTTTGTCATTGTTCCATAGTTTTCCTCCAGAGTGTCCCAAAAATAAGCCAAATTGCTCATTAGTTGTGCTAAAAACATAATTAAAATGATTATAAAATTTTACTACCTTTAAGTGAAAATGTCATTGGTATCTATGCTTGATTCTTAGTATCTTTGCCACCAACATTTAAACTTATTTTCAATAGAAAGGTTTTTTCTAAATTGTTACTATTTACTTAAAATATGACACATACTTTCAATTCACATGAGATAAGGCCTCAGGCATGCTATATTACTAGCTTATTTCAGAATTAGTAAGATCCTTTTAATATTTCTCAAGAAATTCACCTAAAGAGGATTGAGGGGGGAGAAAGTAATTATTGACCATTTGTATCCTGTTAATATGTTAGCATTCAGTGTTTAATATATTTCTTTGAAGTCCGGCTTCCTTGTATATTTGATCTAATAAAAAATGGGGTCCAGCAGATAATAGTATATCTTCTATTTCTCTTTATAATCTCCATTTTATCTTTTTTTCAAGCCTCCTATAGAGGTCAAAAAGTTATTAATTACTCCTGAAATTAACTGCTTTTTTTAGGGAAGATAGCATCTGTGAATCTGAACTTTCTAGCATTTACATGCATCTACAGAGCAACAGTATATTTATATTGATTTACATAATGAGAGTACTCTCAAAAATATCCATCATGAGAACTGTTCCAACACTTCTTGACAAGTTCCTTTGTCTCTTCTAAGCCAAATGTAAACCCTTATTAAATCATTTTCTCTTTCAGAATAATTTGTGCATTGATGGCAATTAGATTAGAAAATCACAAAGGTTTATTACTTTCAATTGACCTTTTATTTCTTGTTAAATATAGGAAAACTGCCTTAATGTTATCGCTTTGCAATTTTCTTCCTGGATAAATGAGTATATCAGAGACAAAAGGTTTCAGATATTATTTTCTTTCATTTTCATCTTTTACAGAGCCATGGGTAGAAGAGTGGCTTTTGGAATTAATATGTAACTAAGTACATTTGTGATAAAGTCTAAATTTGTTTATGCTGATTTGTATTCTAGCTTACAATATTATTACACATGCAACACTGCATTCTCTGAAACTGTCAATAGGCTATAGTAATGTGTGGATCAAAATATTTACTTTGTGGAACATTTGTCACTAATAATTAAAAAAATGTGGTGGAAGGTTAAGCGGTTTCATTTTATTAATTGATTGTTACATCTTTTATTTTTAGTGATAGGACCAAGCTAAAAAAAAAATTAGTAGTTTATACTGTGAATTTATATGGTAATTTAGAAAAACACCCTGAAATTTCTAGATTAGTAGGTGTAGATAAAATGAAAAATTAACTAAAATAAAATATCAAAGCCTTTGCTTAAAAGGCTCAAAGAAAAAATAATAAACATTTTAATAATAACATTGAGATATCTTAAAGACTAATAAGGTAACTTAGATTATATCTAATGGTAAGGATGAAAGGAGCATTGGGATCCCAAAAGGAGCAGTTACTTCAAGTGTACAGGAAATTAGGATATAAAATATAAAGTATAAGAGTTTTAAAAATTATGAGAATAATGAGGAAATTAGCAAAAATAGCAAAGGGAAACACAGCATTTTAAGTCATTATAGCTACTTAGAAATTTGAAATTCTTCTTTTTTAAAAAAGTAAAAAAGAGTGATGTAACCACATTTAGTATTCAGTTTTAATGAAATTCAATATTTTTATTATAAATTATTTTATCAAACTGTTGAAACAATGTACACAATTTGGAAAAGAGTGAACATAATTAAATATATATGTTTATTTTACTTTTTACTTAGAAAAATAAGCACATTTTTTAAAAATAGTAAAGGTATATATACTGAAGAATTTATTATATTTAATGAAAAGAGCTTCTGATATAGAAATTAAAATGATGAGCTAGATATGATGTCTTAAGTTTATATACACTTTAAAACACTCACTTTCCTTGTTACATGATGTTGAAAACTCAATATAAGAAAGTATGGATCCTGAAGTTATACATTCCAGTGAAATAAAGCTTACTTTCAATTTGTCCTGATTTCATTATTAAATAATCAATAATGCCCTGAACATTTATTCTCTTCTTCCAAGACAGGGAAGTGGCACTTCTCAGCATCTGTGGCAGTTAGGCATAGCCAAACATTATTGAGTGTGGTTTGAAATACAGATACATAAATGGAGAGATATGCCATATTGATGGCTGAGAAGACCAATATTATAAATTCATCATCTCTACCAAGATATATGTATAGAAACAATGCAACCTGAATCACAATCTCAATATTTGTCATGATAATTTTGTGACTACTTTCATACCAATGAAGTGTGAATAGATAGAAAATGGATGATATACAGAACTGGGTCATAAGAATGTGTTTGTCCAAGCTCACTCTTCTCTTTTCACTGTTTGGAATCTGGGTGTAGTGATTCAGCTTCAGTCATGCATATGATGGCAATGCTTTTGTTGGGCAACAAACGGAATCAACCTGGAACCTAATTAATCATAGGTAACACAGCAATCTCACATACATGGATTGCTTAGCTTGAAACTCTTATGTGGGTGATATGGTTAGGCTTTATGTCCCCACCCAAATATCATCTCATATTGTAATCCCCATAATCCCCAAGTGTCTCGGGAGAGACCTGGTAGTAGGTGATTGGATCACGGGGGCTGTTTCCCTCATTCTGGTCTCGTGATAGTGAGTGAATTCTCCTGAGATCTGATGGTTTTATTAGGGGCTCTTTACCCTTGGCTCCTCACTTTTTTCTCCTGCCGCCATGTGAAAATATCCAAGCTTGCTTCCCCTTTGCCTTCTGCCATGGTTGTAAGTTTCCTTAGGCCTCGGAAGCCACGAGGAACTGTGAGTAATACAGTTATGGGCTAATACATTGTGAAAACGGACTAATACAGTGGACAAGTCCTCTTTTCTCTAAGTTATTTTTATTTTAGATTACTTTGTTATATTAGTTTGAATTGTTAACTGCTTGGTTCATAGAAGTCAATGTGACTTGCTCTGGCCAATAAAAAGTGACTGAGGGTAAAATTCCTTTCAGAAATGTTGCTTTGAAAATCAGCATAGTGTTCATTGTGTTATTTTTCTTTCCGTGTTCTAAGAATATTAATATCCCAGAGATTTTTTTCTGTCAAATTAGTTCTGGGCTAAAGACAACATGGAGCAAGCCCTAAGCCAATCCATTATGAATACGTAGCATGTGAGCAAGAATTAAGCCTTTGTTATTGTAAGGTACTGAGATTTGTAGGTTTTTGGTTGCTGCAGCACATCGTTTACTCTCTGGCTAATTTAAGAAGATTATTTTTAAACCTGATTGATACAACCCCACTTAGCCATTTCATAGCTTTTAATCAGTTTTACTGTCGTAAAATAAGAAGTGGAAAATTCAGTGACTGCTTCCGTATAGAGTATAAAAGAAGCAAATACCAAATGCAAAATATTTTTCTTGCAGATGTACATGAAGAATATGTTATCTACAAATTTAATGGAGAAAAGGTAATACATAGATCAATTATACACAACTGATAAAATCCAAAGGTAAATTAACTAAGAGAGTAAGTATAATGAAGAAAGCTGATATTTAAAGATATAAACTGGTGGGTTTCTCATTTTAACTAGAAAGTATAGAGGAAGAGTTACTAAAGAAATTACAAAAATAGGTCAAAATTAATGCCGAATCAATACTGAACCTGGAGAGAAAGGCTGAAAATGGGAGGATGACTAGCTGTGCTGTTTGCAGTACAAACATGAATGCAGTTTGGAAGAGAAGAGGGATGGGAGATGCGTTTGAAGAGGTCACTGGACACTATCACATGTGTGACCTCAGACAAAACCAATTTAGCGTGAGCCCAGGACAAACTAAATGGAAATAGCAGGAAAAGAATATACACTCCAAGTATTTGGAATTGAAAAGAAAGCAAAATGAGAACAATAAGTGGAGAGGGTAAAAAAGCCAAAGAAAAGCATTTCAAGCATCACTGGAAATGCTTGAAAGCAGAAAAAAAATGACAGAGGTTGATTAGAGAGTGGAAAGTGATGAAGTCTGAAATCGCCACTCTACAGGTGAAAAAAGCTGGGAAGCCAAAGACCAGCAAGGTGGAGCAAGCTAGGATTTCTGAGTCCAAAGTGCAGGGAAAAGAGCACAGAAGATGACATAGAATTAGGGAGCAGCTACCAATATAGAAAATAGTGGAAATAAAACTTATTCCAAAGCATATATATTTTATTATTCTTTAAGTGTCTTGAATGAACTACTCTAACTACACATCATGCTTTCCCTTCATGAAGTAAGATTATACACACTTTCATATTATTATAGCTTGATTGCAAGAATCAGCTAATTTTTCAAACTTGTTTTATTTTATGCTTCATTTTTAACAACTTTATTGAGAAATGCAACATATACTGAGAAAATGTACTTGCATAAAATATCTATGTATGGATTAACAAACACTTATTAAGTGACCTTCCATGTAACCACCCAATTTGTCATAAATAAAACATTGGAAGCTATCCCCAAACCCTCTTTGTGTCCCTTCCTTTTCACAACCACCTCCAGCCCCTCCCTACAGGTAACCACTATCCTATGCTATAATTATTACTAATATTTCAAAACAGTTTTATCATGATAACTGCTTTCTTAAGCCATAAATTTTGCCAACTTTTTAAAAATTTGTTTGATTTATTTATTTAGGGATGAAGTTTCGCTCTTCTTGCCCAGGCTAGAGTGCAATGGTGCGATCTCGGCTCACTGCAACCTCTGCCTCCAGGGTTCAAGCGATTCTCCTGTCTCAGCCTCCCGAGTAGCTGGGGTTACAGGTGCATGCAACCACATCTGGCTAATTTTTGTATTTTTAGTAGAGATGAGGTTTCATCATATTGGTCAGGCTGGTCTCGAACTCCTGACCTCAGGTGATCCACCTGCCTCGGCCTCCCAAAGTGCTGGGATTACAGGTGTGAGCCACCGCGCCAGGTCAGTTTTACCAAAAACTGTATATAAATTGAAAATTTTAGTATATGTCATTTCTGAAACATTTCTTTTAAACTTGACATTATGCTTGTAAAATGCAACAATGTTAATGCATTGCTGTTTATTCATTTCCTATACTATCCTACTGAATGTTTACTCCACCATATTGCCATGTAATGTTGATGAAATTTTGAGTTATTTCTAATTCAGAGGTCTTACAAGTTGTGTAGTTATGTGCATTTTGGGGCCAGGTATTCTGGAGAATTTATGAGTGCACTTAGCAGAATTCTGGATCAAGTTTTGTTTTGTTTTTTACCAGACAATGGCAGTTGGTTGTAAAATGTAGATTCTGAATAACAGTATATTAGAATTTCTGTTGCTCCACATACTTGTCACCAGTTGGTTTTGTCAGAATGTTAAATGCTACCTTTCTTTAATGTTCACAATTTTAAGTCATTGTGATCTTAAACTGTATTTTAGTCATGACTAATGGGATTAACTTTTATTTCTGCAAAGTTTATTTGGCTCCTCTTTTGTAAATATATTTGCAAATGTTATAGATTTGTTTTTTTCTTATTTTTGTATGTCTGTTCTATTTTCTTCTGTATGATATCTAATTGTCCCAGCACCATATATTGAAACAGATGTCCTTTTCCCGTGGATCTACAAAACCTCTCTCGTATGCAAGTATCCAAAGTGTGTAGGTCTGTTTCTGAGATATTTTCTCTTTTGTTGAATTGTCAATCCATAAGCCAAAATATTAACTATATTTTCCATAGACAATAGAATTTCTTGTTTTCCAGTGAAGTGAGTTGTCCCATTTTTCTTATACTTCTCTGGGAATACTCTAGGAATATCCTGAATATTCTTGACATTTGCATTTTCCTACAGATTTAAGAGTCCAGCTTGTCAATTTTCACATGCACAAATCATTAGATATCAGTTGACATTGTACTGTGTACATCAGTTGGGGTAAAGATTATATATATATATATATATAAAACATAATATATAACATATAACATATATATATATAACATATATATATAACATAAAGTCTACAGCACATCAATATATCCATTTATTGACACATATTTTAAATTACTCCCAGTAAAGGTTTACATTTTTCTCTGTACAGAGCTTGCAAATCTGGTATTAGATATATTTTTAGGTAAATAGTAGTTTTATGCTAATGAAATTTTGAGGGTTTTGTAGCTGTTATTGTTGCTGTGACATATGGAACTACAAATAAGTTCTGTATTGATTTTTAAGCTCTTCTTAGTTTTAATGATTTATTAGCTGTTTTCTATGTACACAGTCATATAATCTCCAAATAATGACAGATTGTATTCCTTCTTTTCCAATCCATACACATTATATTAATTTTTCTGGCCTCATATGTTGGCCATGCCATTTAATAAAATGCCAGTAGGCATCAAGAGACACTTTGCCTTGTTTTATATCTCTAGGAAAATATTTCTAAAGCGTATCAAAAATAATGCTCGCTGCAGGTTTTATTGCAGATAAGCTTTAACAGAATAAAGAAGTCCCCTATATTAGTTTACCGTGAGTTTTTTTTTTAATCTTGAATGGATGTTAAATTTTATTAAGTGGATTTTCATTGCATATGTGAAAATAATTATATATATATTTTATTTTCAACACTTATTATGGAAAGTTTTTCTTATTAAATTTCTCATCAAATTAATTACAATTAATTTGACATCAATTTCTATTACCTGGAATAGTTTAGGATTCTTGCATATATGTTCAATTGCAAGACCAGACTTAATTTTTCTCTCAGTGTTGTCTCTGCCAGGTGTAACTATATGTTTTATGGTAACTTCATAAAACGATATGAGTAATCCTGCTTTTCTATTCTAAAAGATTTGCGTAACCTTGGAATTCCTCTTTTCCTAATTTTTTTAAGCTGGATGTTTATAACAATTCACCAGTGAAGACACTGCACCTGTATATTCTTCATGGAAATATTACTAACCACTGTCTAAATTTCCTAAAAATATAATATTATAGATGTTTCTCAAGTCATCTGGAGACAGTTTTGCCAAGTGTTTTTTTATAGCAATTGTTTATTTTAATCTAAGTTTCAAATTTTCGATATATGCCTCTTCTGTGGTGGTAAAGACCTTTGAAAATCCATTCCTCCATAAAAGCAAAAAGAAAATAAATGACATTTGACAACATTGCCTTTTTTAAAAGCATGGAAATTAAATTAAAGACTTGCAACAATTTAAGCAGTATTTCTTCCAGAAATGCTTCTGAATCTCGGTAAAAACATTGAGCTTTGTGGCATTTAACTTTCCCTATTCTCATTTCACTCCCCAGCTCCATAGTACTCTTGAAAAACAGCACACTTGCAACGGTGGCACTTGTAAAACCTTGTGACTTAGAAGCCACTAAAAGGGGCAGATCAAGTTTATAGGCCCTCAAAAACTTCATCCACAGCAAACTGAGGATGACCCCATTCATAGGGCTTATTGTTATTCAACCTAATTCAGAGCTTACTCAGTGGCAAAAACTCTATCCCCAGGATGTTTACCAAAAACAGTTAAGTGGCAATTGTTTAACATTACAGCAGCTTGAAATGATTGATACCAGTTAGAGAAAAAAAATAGAAGAAGTTGCCCAAAATGTATGTACATAATCAAATTCAGAATACCATAATACTGTAATGATGAAGTATAAATCACTACATCCTTAATAGAAAGGTTAAAAGTCAAAAATAATATAAATAATAGCTAAAATAAGACACATGCAATATAAAAAGATGTAAATTGTGTCATCAAAGTTTCAAAATATGGAGGGAGGAGTAGTGTAGAGGTTTTTTTGTTTATTTGTTTTGTTTTTGTAATCTGAATTATATCATTCTCAGCTTAAAATAGCCTGTTATAAATATTACATATATTTTGTAAGCCTCATCATAATCACAACCATAGTAGATGCACAGAAACTCAAAAAGCAAGGAATCAAAATATACCACTAACAAAGCCACAAAATAAGACAACAGTAGAGAAAGGTTCTACAAAACAACTTGAAAGAAATTAACAAAATGCCAATAGTAAGTTTTTAACCTATTAATAATTACCTATAATGTAAACAGATTTAATTCTCCAATCAAAAGATATAGTGTGACTTAATAGATTTTAAATAAACAAAAACAAAAACAAGACCCAAATATTTGCAGCCTAAAAGAGACTCACTTTAGCTTTAAGGACATACATAGACTGAAATTAAAGGAATAAAAAATGATATTATGTGATAATGGAAACCAAAAAAAACAAGGAGTAGCTATATTCATTCAAGATGAAATAGAGCTCAAAACTCTAAAAAGAGAAAAAAGTTATTATATATTGAAAGTTATATCAACAATGAGAATATAATGATTGTAAATATATATCCACCCAACATTGAAGCACCTAAGTATATAAAACAAATATTAAAAACTAAAGAGAGAGTAGACTGTGATACAATAATAGTAGGGGGTGTTAATACTTCATTTTCAGCAATGAACAGATCATCCAGACAAAAAATCAATAAAAATCAAAGTTAAACTACATTGTAGATCAAATGACATAACAGACATATACAGAATTCCATCCAACAGGTACAGAATACACATACTTCTCAACTGCACATAAAACATTTTCTGGGATAGATTGATCACAATTTAGGCCATAGAGCAGATATAAACAAAATTAAGAAAATTTAATTATATCAAATATACTTTTGGCCACAATAATATAAAACAATAAGTAACAGGAGAAACATGGGAAAATTCACAAATACATGAAAATTAAATAGCATGCTTCTAAAAAACAAATAGGTCACTCAAAACTGCACAACTACATCGAAACTGAACAACCTGCTACTGAATGACTACTGTGTAAATAATGAAATGAAGGCAAAAATAAAGATGTTCTTTGAAACCAAAGAGAACAAAGACATAACATACCAGAATCTCTAGGACACATTTAAAGCAATGTGCAGAAGGAAATTTCTAGCACTGATGCCCACAAGAGAAAACAGGAAAGATCTAAAATTGATATCCTAATATCACAATTAAAAGAACTAGAGAAACAAGAGCAAACAAATTCAAAAGCTAGCAGAAGACAAGAAATAACTAAGATAAGAGCAGAACTGAAGGAGAGAGAGACATGAAAAACCCTTCAAAAATCAATGAATCCAGCAGGTGGATTTTGAAAAGATAAAAAATATAGACTGCTAGCTAGACAAATAAAGAAGAAAAGAGAGAAGAATCAAATAGATGCAATAAAAAATGATAAAGGGTAAAAATGATAAAGGGTATATCACCACCAATCCCACAGAAATACAAACTACCATCAGAGAATACTATAAACCTCTAGACAAATAAACTAGAACATCTAGAAGAAATGGATAAATTCCTGGACACATACACCCTCCCAAGACTAAACCAGGAAGAAGTCAAATCCTTGAATAGACCCATAACACGTTCTGAAATTGAGGCAGTAATTAATAGCCTACCAACCAAAAAAACGTCCAGGACCAGAAGGATTCACAGCTGAATTCTACCAGCGGTACAAAGAGGAGCTGGTACCATTCCTTCTGAAACTATTCCAAACAATAGAAAAAGAGGGAATCCTCCCTAACCATTTTATGAGGCCAGCTCATCCTGATACCAAAATCTGGCAGAGACACAACAAAAAAAGAAAATTTCAGGCCAATACTCCTGATGAAAATCAATGCAAAAATCCTCAATAAAGTACTGGCAAATCGAATCCAGCAGCACATCCAAAAGCTTATCAAGCGTGATCAAGTCGACTTCATCCCTGGGATGCAAGGCTGTTTCAACATATGTAATTCAATAGACGTAATCCATCACATAAACAGAACCAATGACAAAAACCATATGATTATCTCAATGGATGCAGAAATGGCATTTGACAGAATTCAGCACCCCTTCATGCCAAAAATTCTCAATAAACTAGGTATTGGTGGAATGTATCTCAAATAATAAGAGCTATTAAGGACAAACCCACAGCCCATTTGTTTTCAGATGTCATGATTGTATATTTAGAAAATCCCATCATCTCAGCCCCAAAGCTCCTTAAGCTGATAAGTAAATTCAGTAAAGTCTCAGGATACAAAATCAATGTGCAAAAAACACAGGCATTCCTATACAACAATAACAGACAAACAGAGAGCCAATTCATGAATGAACTTCCATTCACAGTTGCTACAAAGAGAATAAAATACCTATGAATACAATTTACAAGGGATGTGAAGGACCTCTTCAAGGAGAACTACAAACCTCTGCTCAAGGAAAGAAGAGTGACACAAACAAATGGAAAAGCATTCCATGTTCATGGATAGGAAGAATCAATATTGTGAAAATGGCCATACTGCCAAAGTCATATATAGATCCAATGCTATTCCCATCAAGCTACCATTGACTTTCTTCACAGAATTGGAAAAAAAGCTACTTTAAATTTAATATGGAACCAAAAAAGAGCCCACATAGCCAAGACAATCCTAAGCAAAATGAACAAAGCTGGAGGCAACACACTACCTGACTTCTAACTATACTACAAGGCTACAGTAACCAAAACAGCATGGTATTGGTACCAAAACAGATATATAGACCAATGGAACCGAACAGAGGCCTCAGAAATAACACCACACATCTACAACAATCTGATCTTTGACAAACCTGACAAAAACAAGCAATGAGTAAAGGATTCCCTATTTAACAAATGGTGCTGAGAAAACTAGCTAGCCATATGCAGAAAGCTGAAACTGGATCCCTTCCTTAAACCTTACACAAAAATTAACTCAAGGTGGATTAAAGACTTAAACATACAACCTAAAACTATAAAAATCCTGCAAGAAAATGTAGGCAATAATATTCAGGACATAGGCATGGGCAAAGACTTCATGACTAAAACACCAAAAGCAATGGCAACAAAAGCCGAAATAGACAAATGGGATCTAACTAAACGAAAGAGCTGTACAGGAAAAGAAACTATCACCAGAATGATCAGGCATCCTACAGAATGGGAGAAAATTTTTGCAATCTATCCATCTGAAAAAGGGCTAATATCCAGAATCTACAAAGAACTTAAACAAATTTACAAGAAAAAAAACCCCATCAAAAAGTGGGCAAAGGATATGAACAGATCCTTCTCAAAAGAAGACATTTATGCAGCCAACAAACATAAGAAAAAAGGCTCATCATCACTGGTCATTTGAGAAAATCAAATCAAAACCACAATGAGATACCATCTCACACCATTTAGAATGGCAATCATTAAAAAGTCAGGAAACAGCAGATGCTGGAGAGGATGTGGAGAAATAGGAACACTTTTACACTGTTGATGGGAGTATAAATTAGTTCAACTATTGTGAAAGACAGTGTGGCAATTCCTCAAGGATCTAGAACTAGAAATACCATTTGACCCAGCAATCCCATTACTGGGTATATACCCAAAGAATTATAAATCATTCTACTATAAAGACATATGCACATGTATGTTTATTGTGGCACTGTTCACAATAGCAAAGACTTGGAACCAACCCAAATGTCCATCAATGATAGACTGGATAAAGAAAATGTGGCACATATGCACCATAGAATACTATACAGCCATAAAAAAGGATGAGTTCATGCCCTTTGCAGGGACATGGATGAAGCTGGAAACCATCATTTCTCAGTAAACTAACACAAGAACAGAAAACCAAACACCGCATGTTCTCACTCATAAGTGAGAGCTGAGCAATGAGAACACATGGATATAGGGAGGGGAACCTCACACACCAGGGCCTATTGGGTGTGAGGGTCTAGGGGAGGGATAGCATTCGGAGAAATATCTAATGTAGATGATGGGTTAATGGATGCAGCAAACCACCATGGCACGTGTATACCTATGTAACAAACCTCCACATTCTGCACATGTACCCCAAGACTTAAGGTATAATAAATAAATAAATAAGAAATAAAGAAAAATAGTCAACCCTAGCATACTGTTGGTGGGAAGGTAAATTAGTACAGCCATTATGAAAAATGGTATGGAGGTTCCTCAAAATTTTTAAAATAGAACTACCACATTCTGCAATCTCACTATGGAGTATATATATTGAAGAAACAGAATTCAGTATGCTGAAAGGGTAACTGCACTCTCATGTTTATTGCAGCATTATTTGCAATAACCAGATATGGGATTAATCCAAGTGTCCATTAGTGGATCAATGGCTAGAGAAAATGTGGTACATAAACACCATGGAATACTATTCAGCCACAAAAAGAAGGAAAATCCTGTTATTTGTGACAACATAAATGAACCTGAAGGACCTTATGTTAATTAAAATAAACCATGCAAAGAAAGACAAATACTGCATAATCTCACTCATATATGAAATCTAAAATAGTTGATCTTGTAGAAGAAAAGCTGACTAGAGGTTGCCAGGGGCTGGTGAGGTTGTGTGTGTGATATGGGTGGTTGAAGATACATTAGTCAATGGCTACAAAACTTCATTAGATAGGAAGAATAAGCTCAAGACATCTATTTTACAACTGTAAAATAGATGTATGCACTTGGGCTTTAGAATACAATATTTTACAACCACAAAATAGATATCTTGTGACCACAGTAAAAAATATATTGTATTCTTAAAAATGCTGAGAGAGTAGATGTAATGTATTCTTACTACAAAAATGATAATTATGTGAGGTAATGCATATGCTAATTAGCTGGAGTTGGTAATTCCACGATGTATATATACACTTCAAAACAATATGTTGTCTATGGTAACCACATACAGTATTATTTGCCAATGTAAAAATGAGATAAAATTGTGTTCACAAAAAAACAAGTTTTTATGAAATTATTATTTAAAAATTAGTATATTTTCTTTCAATACATCCAACTTTAATTCTATATTATAGTTATTTATATAGTTTTGTGTTTAACCAATATTAATTTTCCCTGGTAGCTTCTGGATAACAAAATTTTTCTTTGGCTTTCTTATTTGATTTACCTTATTGTTAGCTGAGGAAACACTTTAATTAATAATTTTTAAGGATGTGGTTATTTTACTTTCTGACTACCAAAATATTTGAGGATATCTTTCTCTTGCTTTCATAAATGGAAATTTATCTGGATATACATTTCTTGGAGCAGAAACTCATTTTCTTCTAATATTTATTGTCTGAGTAGAAAATCTTATAGCTGGTTATTTCTAGATTTTTTGTCAATATAAATGCTTATAGGATAATTTCTGTTGAATTTTAATTTCAACATTGTGTCAATGTGCATAGAGCTGTGGATATCCTGTAATTAATTCAACAGATAATTATGTTCCATATTCTCAATTTCATTTTCAAAAACATCTGTTTTTTTTTTCTATCAGCTTCTGTCTCATTTTCAAATCTTAGCCTAGTTTTCTGAGTCCTGAGTAAACTTTTCAAATTTGCTCACTACAAAACTTGCTTAACTTGTGCATTGTCAGCTTTGCTCGTTACACTAACTACTGTTGACTTCAATTATCTTACTCAATTTTAAGTGATAAAGAGTAGAGATGGAAAGAGTTTTACTTTTTGTTTTAGGCTGGACTTTTGTTCTGTTTTCACATGTATAGGCAGCCAATTTTATATCTCAGGACATTCCTTTGAAAACTGCAGTTTATGTGATTATAAGTTGCTTAATAGGTACACAAAATAATAACAAGAAAAACAATACTAGTGTTGTTCTTGTTATTGTTATTTTAAGGTTTTTAAGATGTTTCCACAGGCTAGAGTGGAGATTGCCACTGAGAATATAAGGGATATCAGAATGAAGTCTAATGGTTTGTCTCTGTATCTAATTACCCATTCCTTCCCCTTAAACAGCTAATCTAATTTGATTGGGGAGAGTATATTTTCTGAGATGCAGTTTTCATTCTTTATAACAGTAAAGTCTTTCACTAACTGTATCATTCTTGTACTCTCTGTGTTGCTAGTGACTGGGTTTCTAAGGCATATAAGATGCACATGCAAACCTAAAATCCACTTTGTAGGCTCAGCTCTCTTTATAGGTTAATTCCAAAGCCTAGATTAGAGGTAGTCGCTTACTTTGAACTCTATATTCCCATTCAGCCAGTAGGGAGGTTCCATTCTTCTGGGATTATCGAACTACCAATAATAATATTTAATTCGCCATTTGACTCATTATATATATTAGCCAGAAGATAGGAAAGAAGAGTTGAGTAATTAAAATCTTTAATCTTCATGCTGAGAGAACTGATCTGAATCATTCCTCAGACTTGATATGGCTGCTTTTATTTTTTTTTATTTTTTTATTTTTTTATTTTTTTTTGAGACGGAGTCTCGCTGTGTCTCCCAGGTTGGAGTGCAGTGGCGCGATCTCGGCTGCTTTTAATGGAATTTACTAAGGTAATGTTTTAACCAAAAGGAAATTTGGGCATTATGATGTTTTCTTCAATACCACTTACTTACGTACTTTTTATTCTGCCTATTTTAAAACTGATCTGACTACATAAGTACTACTCTGTGTTGACTGCCAATGTTTGTCTCTTTGTATAGTAAAGCTACCTATAGACCTATAGACCAAGTTTTTGAACTTCTGGCTTAGTAGCATTAGAAGTCTAAAATTTTATAAGATACCTAGCACTTCAGTAAACACAGAAAAAAGCCTTTGAAACTAAAAATTCTTCTTGATTACCCTAGGTGTACCAAAATCTAATTGTACATCTTTGTAAACTGATGTTTTATCCAGGAAAAGTCACTTACTGTCAAATTACTTCAACTGCAAAAAGAAGATTAATCATATTTAATAATTAAATATAATTCTGATAATGAATAGGTACATAAAATTAAGTAGTCAGTACATGTGGGAAATTTATATCGAAATTTGCATATTAAACAAAGGCCTCTGTTACAAGCAAGATCCTCTCTTATCTGTCAATATTTAGCTCAGGAAACGCTAAATGATGGTAATTGGCCTATGATTGTCTTTGCTTTGCCAATATCATTTTACTTACAAAAGGAATTAAAAGGGTTATTTAGATTTCTTAATTACAATTTTCCAGGAAAAATTAAGTTGATTTAATATAAAAATATACCCGCAGAAGGACCTGCCATATTTTTACTTTGACCTGTTATGTCAAACTTGAATAAGGCATTTTATTGTATGTGACCTATCATAGGAAACTTTTGTCCTTCCTGTGTAAACACAAGAAGACCCTGGTTGATAGAAAGAGTCTTTGAGTACCCATTACAATAGGAAACTTAATTTATACCTCCACTTTTTTGAAGAAAGAGCATAAGTAGGGTATAGGAGCTTCTAATAGTTTTATATGAGAATTATAAGTTTAAAAGTATAATTCATCAGATTTTATGAACAACATGGGAAATCCTAGGAAATCTTGCATGGAAAATTCCATTCCTGCTGCTATTGCTTATATAAACACCCTCTTTATTTTGTCCAGAAATAGTTATGTTATGGATCAAGAACTTATAAAAGAAGTACATAAGAGTGGACTATACAATATTCTATATAATGGTATTCTATTTGATATCATTAAAAGTTGTAACTTTTTTGATTGATAGATTTATGAAATTTTGAAGCAAAAATGTCATGATGTTTAAAAAAAGATCCTAACATATGTGTTATAGTTAATGGGAAAGAGAGAAATTACAGTAGGAATAAAAATATTTACTGGAAAAGAGATAAATTTATAATAGGAATACAAATAAATTGATTCAGTGATTGAAAAATCGGGGACAAATGTATATGTTTATATATTGGAAACTATTTCTTAAATTATGTAGATTATATAAAAAGCCCAGCTTCCATAGCAAGTTATGACTGCATGTATAGGGAAGATATTACTAAAAATAAAGTCTAAAATTATTTTAAAATTTTATCATATTATTCAAAAATTGATATCTCTTTCAATACATCCAACTTTAATTTTATATGATAATTACTTATATAGTTTTGTGTTTAACCAATATTAATTTTCCCTGGTAGCTTTTGGATAACAACATTTCTCTTTGGCTTTTTTATTTTGATTTATCTTATTGTTAGCTGAGGAACGCCTTTAATTAATTTTTTTTAAGGACACGGTTATTTTAGTTTCTGACCACTAAAATATTTGAGGATATCTTTCTCTTCCTTTCATAAAGGGAGTCATTATTTAGACTTCATATTCACAGATTTACATGTGAAACAGTGAATCATCTTATTCTGTTACCCTTATTCTGAGATCATAGGTTCATAAGGACATGATCCAACTATTTCATTATAGACAAGATTTCAATCATCATGTAGCATTACATTCTGCTGGAAGGATTTTCCCAGAAACAGAGTCAGGATTATTGTTCTCCTATAAAGTATGTATATTTTTAAAAGTTAATGCTGAACAAAAGAAATGTGCAGAACAAGAGTCTAGTGGATTAAATAACAACATAATCGTTCTTGCCTATGTCTATCTTCCACCCAGGTCAAGCCATATAAAATTTATAAGATGTATTAATATGATAATTAAATATCAGAATCAATTGAATGAGTTTCCTTACTAAATTGATACAACTACATATCTGGATACGAAACAAGGTAATCTTGTTTTTCTAATGTTTTCATATAATAGAAATTTCTACACTTGTACAAAAATTGGAAGAAAATCTACAGTCTTATGAATTTTACAGAAATATAATGCAAGGGATATTGAAACAGACTGCAAATCATCAGTCAACTCATTCCTTTTGTGTCTCGTATTTATTTATCCATTTTTACTCTTGTTTGCTGTCAAGTTTCTCTCCTGCTTTTTCATAATATTAGTTAGGAGGCTTTTGGAAATATCAAAAATCTCAACTCAAAGTGGCTTCAAACTAAGAAGAGTCATTGTGATGGTTAATTTTATGTGTCAACTTGGCTAGGCTTTAGTACCTAGTTATTTGGTCAAATCCTGGTTGAGATGTTCCTATGAAAGTATTTTTTACATGTAATTAACTTTTAAGTCAGCATACTTTGAGTAAGGCAGATTACCCTTCATAATGTGGGTGGGCCTCATTCAGTCAGTTGAAGACCTTAAAACAAAAGACTCATGTCCCTAAGAGGACATCAGAAATTTTGCCTCTACACTGCCTTTAGGATCAAGACTGCAATATCAACTTTTCTCTGGGTGGCTTGCCAGCCTCCACAATTGCATGAGCCAATTTTTAAAATAATTTATCTCATTCTCACATCTTCTACTGGTTATGTTTCTCTGGAGAACCCTGACTAATGCAATCATTTTACATCATAGACAAATCCACAGAAGGAAAAGGGAAAACACAGCACTGACTTTATGTCTCTTGATTCTCTTGGTTCCATTCACTTCTGAACGTTCTCACTCTGTCTCCAAGAAAAAACAAGATTACTGCCATCAACAACTAGAACCCCAAGAGATAAAATGAATGTCATTTTGTACAATGTCATTGAACCAGTAATGTGATGTGCTCATGAGAACCAACTAGTTGTTGCTTTGTTTTCATCTAATTTCTTTAAATAATCATTGGCCAAGAATATGGGATTTGATTACAATTGGTTTTGATAACTGAGACCCACTCAAGAACCAATTATAATATCAGATTCAATGAGGCATGCATTATATTGTAGGAGCATAGGCTTCTGAAAATCATTTGTGTGCTTTTAGGATGAAAGAAGTAGAGGGTGAATGATAGGAAACAAATTATGACAAATCTTTTTAATCTATATTGATAAATTATATGAACTATTTTCCAGGCTATTACTTAAGCTTTCTTTTTCAACTTGGAGTTATTCTGTGACATTACAGGTAACCTTTAAAGATCACCATTAGGCTTTGCATATTTTCTACCCAAACCCTAGGGAAAAAACAAAAACAAACAAAACCTTAGCAGACTGTCTTTCTGATCTCATAGCAGTACAACTGTTTACTTTTTAATTGATATCTAATGTATATGTTTTGGGGATACACGTGCTATTTTGATACCTGTATACAATGTGTGATGGTGAAATAAGGGAAATTGGGATATACATAACCTCAAGCATTTATTATTTATTTGTGTTGAGAACATTATACTTCTTCTTTTCAAGATACTTTGAAATATATTATAAACGGTTGTTAGCTATAATTCCCCTACTGTACTGTAAGGCCAAGGCAAGGTAACACATGTGTTGTTAACACATGTTTTGTTACAGTAATTTTCCTACTGTAATATCAAATACTAGAACTTGTTTTGGTAATTAAAATATGCTCTTTGAGGATAGGAGTTCCACTTTTAAAAACAACTTTGTCCATTTTTTTATTTGTGTACAATTTTAAATGTTTACCCTTATCCTCCTACTTTTCCTAGGAATGAAGAGAATTAATACAGAGTCATTAAACATCAAAAATTTAGGTGATTCGCTTCAAATTTAATCAGGAAGAATACTGGTCAAAGTTATTAGAGTCTTATCTAATATTATTTATTAGGACTGGAGAGTCTCTGTAAACATAATCTTACTGGTGACAATCTTAATTTTGTTCTTTCAAATTTATTATTTATTTTTAATCGTTAAATTTCTTTACTTAGTTTCAACAAAGAGCCAGTTGTAAAGAGCTAGGTTTTCTTTAGCAGGAAGGTAATTCCACCTGCAACTCTAGCAGGGAGAGAGATATCTCAATCAAAAAATACCCTAGAAGAAAATTGAGATTTTAAAAAAAAAAGTTATACTATTGCACAGTGAGCACAGACTGCATATGTTATTACCCTCAAGGTTTAGTTACTGAACCTTGAAAGTTTCAAATTTTGTTTTCAGTAAAAAGCAACAAAATTTCATAAACAGAATTAATCATGCACATTCACAAAATGCCCTAGAGGATTTAAATTATAAGCCCAAGTTTCATTATTAATACTTATTTCATCTTATCTGGGATACAGTTTACACTCAATATTTTATTTTGGCAAAGTCTGCTCTTCTTTTATTGCTCAAGTAATAGCCTAGTCAAGGTAAGGCATGTTTAAGGATATTACTAAACCATTCCTAAAGCATAGCATCCCTAATGGATTAAAGTAAAGTACAGCTACAGGTATATTTGTATAGAAAGCCACTGAACTAGATAATGCCATCCATGGATTATATAAATAATCAAGAGTTTTTAAAAGAAAACTGTGTATAAAATATCTGTTTCACCTACTATATGCAAAAAATTAAGAAATCTGTAAGAAATTCCTACTAAATAACTGCATGGGCAAGGTCGTGTGCTATTCACTGTGAAAGGGGTGAAACATAATAATAAAATAAAATATAAATAATTTATATACTAAATAAAATTCAATATTTAGTGGTAAAATCAAAGTATAAATAAAATGACAAATGTGAATATGTATAAAATGTGAAACATTTAAAAGCAGTCTGCAATTAACCATTGAATAAGGGAAAATGCTTATAGTGAATTCAATCACATATGAAAAATCATTGTAAGCTGAGGTATGCTGGAAAAAGGCTTCAAGGCAGAGGAAATTGTTGAGCTGAAAACAGAATAAATATAACTAATATATTTAAATATGTAAACATTGTTGCACCAAAAATAAAGTATACATTTTGATATAAATCACAGACTTGGAAATATTTGTAGTAGATAAGAAAGAAGATTATTTTCACTAATATATAAATTTTTTTAAATAAAAAAGCATAAGAGTGAAACTCAAATGAAAATGGCAGAAAATGCATAAGGATTTACGTAAGGAGATAAAAGATCACCAGCAACACCAGAAAGCATGTGAAATGTCACTAGTAGTTGACAAAATATTATTGAAAAGATCAGTGAAGTATTTTAGAAGTTTTAAAAATTGTAATAATCAAAGTTGTAGAAAATATGAAGTGATACATCTCAGATATTAACCCTTACAATATGAATATATAATTTTATATAAATTAAATTTGTATTGTGTTTCAAGAAGTTCAAAGCATTTAAAGTTTTTGGCCCTGTAGTTTTACCTATAAAAATATGTCTAAAGAAATAATCTAGCACAAAAAATTGATGGATGGTGATGTTCATTACCACATTTCATGTAACACAACATTGAAGGAAAAATAGCCAACGATTTGGAAATTGGTACATTAAAAATGATTCATTCATGAGATAAGGTGTGATGAAATCCGTAGAAATGAATTAAAAATTATCTTGTGTCAATGTTATATGAATAATGCTAAAAATAAAATTGTATTTTATAAACCTACTTTTGTGAACACTATTACAGTCATGCCACATAATGACATTTTGGTCAACCACAGACTACATATATGATGACGGTTCCATAAGATTATAATAGAGTTGAAAAATTCCTATCACCTAGTGATGTTATAGCCCTCTGAAGCAGTATTGCAAAACATGATTCATATGTTTTGGTGATGCTGGTGTAAACAAACCTACTGAGCTGCCAGTCATATAAAAGCATAACACAAACAATTATGTACAGTTCACAATACTTGATAATGATAATAAGACTATGTTATTGATTTATGTATTTATTAGAGTTACTTTTTATTGCTATTTTAGAGTATACTTCTTATATCTATTTTTTAAAAAGTTAATCGTAACTACAGGCAGGTCCTTCAGTAGTTAATCCAGAGGAAGGCATTGTTATCACAAGAGATGCCAGCTGCATGCTTGTTATTGCCTCCAAAGACCTTCCAGTGGGACAAGATAATGGAGGTGGAAGACAGTGATTTAATGATCCAGATCCTGTGTAGGCCTAGGATAAGATGTGTATTTGTGTCTTAGTTTTTAATGAAATTTTTCAAAAAGTTAAAAAAATAAGAATAGAAAAAAGCTTGCAGAATAAGAATATAAAAATATTTTTGTACAGCTATAAAATGTGTGTTTTAAGCTGTTATTACAAAAGAGTAAAATAGTTTTAAAATTTTAAACTATTATAGTAAGCTAAGGTTATAGTAAGCTAAGGTTAATATATTATGGAAGAAAAAAGTATTTTTAATAAATTTAGTATAGCCTAAGTTTATAAAATCTACAGTGGTGCACAGTGATGTCCTAGGGTTTCACGTTTATTCACCACTCACTCACTGACTTACTTAGAGCAACTTCCAGTCCTGCAAGCTCATTTCATGGTAAGTGCTATACACATGTGATATAGTTTGGCTGTGTCCCACCCAAATCTCATCTTGAATTATAACTCCCACAATTTCCATGTGTCATGGGAGGAAGCTGGTGGGTAGTAATTGAGTTATGGGGGTGAGTTTTTCCCATGCTGTTCTCATGACAGTGAATACATCTCACAATATTTGATGGTTTTTGAAAACTGGAGTTTTCCTTCAAAAGCTCTCTTCTCTTATCTGCCACCATGTGATATGTGTCTTTCCCCTTCTGCCATGATTGTGAGGCCTTCCCAGCCACGTGGAACTGTAAGTCCATTAAACTTCTTTCTTTTGTAAATTGCCCAGTCTCAGGTATGTCTTTATCAGCAGCATAAAAATTTACTAATACAGTCAGTTGTCCCTTTCTATGTTTATATCTACCCTATTAGTTCTGTCCCTCTAGAGAACCCTGACTAATACAACAGATGTACCATTTTTTCATCTTTTATACCATATTTTTACTATATCTTTTCTGTGTTTAGACATACAAATACGATTGCATTGCAATTGCCTACATCATTTAGTACAGTAACGTGCTGTGCATGTTTGTAGCCTAGGAGCAATAGCCTAAGTGTGTAGTAGGCTGGATTATTCAGGTTTATATAAGTACACTCTGATTTTTGCACAATGAAAAAGTTGCCCAATACCACATTTCACAGAATGTATTCCAATGTTTGTGCAATGCATGACTATATATATAATTGTTTTTATTTCTATCTGTATCTATGTAAATATATATTATATATAAATGCCTTGCTATATTCTAATCCATTAGTTAATATTTCTAACATATTCAAAATATTACTTATCATTTGAAATCTATACTATAAATTTGAATAATACATAATAAACAAAAACAAAATCATTTAAAGTTACAATAATCCTATATCATAAGTAAAACAATATTAACAATACAAAGAAAAACACTGAATCAGAATTTTGGATATATGTCATGGTTTCATAATTTAGAAATAATGTACCCTGAGAATACTGGCAACCAAGAACTAGAAATATGAACTATCCAGGTCTCATTATCTTTGGGAGGAAAATGCTTTTTTTCTAAATGCTAAGTGAATTTATGGTGTTGATTTCTCTGTAAAGAATGTTTTTCAATATCCTCTGGAGCAGTTACATAAAGAATAAAAATTGGCTTTATGTGGCCATTTCTTGTATCAATTGCCAATAAAATTCATGGATATACAATTACATTACATTTCTGTGGAAGCACATCTCCTAGCAGTTAAAGAAATATAGTCAAGTTACATAGGCTTTAGGATATATACTGGAGAGAGTAAGATTAGAGACCTATCAAGGTGAATCATCATACTGTCATTTGGACATCTGTCTCACATGTCACTTTTAAATGTCTCTGATTAGAGATATGGCAGGTTTTTGACAACTTATGTCTCTATCCAACACCATATTTCTTATTTTGAATCCTGAAAAGATATTTTTTCTATAGCTTATCGTCAGGTTATAGGATATGTACTCTCCAAGTTGAACAATTTTCTAAGTGGAGGCTTTCCCAGCTTCGTACAGAGGGAAACTGAAAGAGAAGCTTGCGATGTAAAACACTTATAAGCAATAATTAGCATTCCACTTCCTAAACCATGATAGAAACAGTAGGTTTTTGTAGAAAACGGATTTTTTTTTTTTTTTTGAGATGGAGTCTCACTCTGTCACCCAGGCTGGAGTGCAGTGGTGCGATCTCAGCTCACTGCAACCTCCGCCTCCCAGGTTCAAGCGATTCTCCTGCCTCAGCCTCCTGAGTAGCTGGGACTACAGATACATGCCACCATGCCTGGCTAATTTTTTTTTTTTTTTTGTATTTTTAGTAGAAACAGGGTTTCACCGTGTTAGTCAGGATGGTCTCGATCTCCTGACCTTGTGATCTGCCTGCCTCAGACTCCCAAAGTGCTAGGATTAGAGGTGTGAGCTTGATAGTTGGTAAAGGTAAATTTTAAATGATTGCGCAGGAAAACTAAATAAAATATTTTGTGTAAATGTGAATCGGTCATGGAGAACAACAAATTAGAAATATTTTTATTTGCATATTTATATTTTTATTTATAAGGACAGTAAAAGAGGTATATTATTTGAAAATGCATTAAATCTACTACTGGGGAAAAAGACAGAAGTCATAGCCACACTTGGTAAATTTCAGTTCACCAAAACCCTCATTCATGTTAACATTTATCTTCTTTGAGATAGATTTATATAAATAGATTAATATAAATTTCTATATTTATTTTTATATATAGTTCCTATGAATAAATACTTGATGCCAAATGAATATTTTACTTGGTAGGTTAAAGTTTGTTTTTTAATTCATATAAATAATACATACCAATAAAACACACAAAATAAATAGGTAAAAAAATACAAAACAAAATAATATGTAATATATCAATAATCTGTAGGATGTAAAAAAACAGCAGATTATGAGATTGAGCAGCAAAGGGCTGCAATTTAGTGAAGAGAAAGCTGGTGTAGTGAACTGTGAAGATAGAAGATACTGCACTTTAGAAAAATAGATATAAAGGCAATGACAGAAAATTTTACTAACATTTGAGTCTGAAATATCCAGAGGCTTATTAAAGTAGACGTGCTGAAATCACTCTAACAAATCCAAACATGCATTAGGAAAAGTAGAAGTTTCTTTCTTGCTCCCCTATCCACGGTCTAGTGTGGTTGTGTATGCTGTATGGATCGTTTACATATAGTGATTTAAGGATGTAGCCTCCTTCCTTCCACCCACTATCCTTTAGACTCTGGTTACCATCCACATGCATCTAAGAGAAAGGAACAGAACTTAGAGGAGGAATACCTGTTTCTTAAATTCTTGGTCCACAAGTGGCTCTTATCACTTCTTCACTAGATCTATTGCCAACACACGTAAGTGCAGAGCAGGGATAGAAACCCAACATGCTAATAAGATTAAAAGAAGAGAAAAAAAGACATTGATGAACATCTGTCAGCCTTTACCACAAGAAAATGTGAGTAAAGAATCATATGTAGAATGCATTAAGTTTTTGAAATTCTCACAATTACATAAGGTAAGTTGGGGAAGCTTTATTATATCCATTTTGCAGCTGAGAAAATGTTGAGACCTTTATAAAATTCTTCCAATTTTTCCAATTTCCTCTCACATAGTCCTGTTTCATTAAGGGACTATGTTTATCAAAAGGGATCATGTTTAACATAAGGCATAATTGATAACTGCCATTACTATAAAGTCACCTTGTCAGGTAATTAATTCAGCTTTGGCTTTAGATTACTGTTTTATTTCCTTGTGTATAAATTTCTGTCTTGGATAAAAGGCATGAAGATCTAGAACCTGGTCTTTGTGTTGCCAGGATTCCTACCACATGTGAAATATTTCCTTTGAATCCAAAATAAGAATGAGGTCTTGGTATCTCCTAACAGACTACCTTTGAGAGGCCTGTTTGCCTGCTTCTATAATCTAGTGTTACATCTCCCACAATTTTTCATGCAGGGCTCTGCCTGCTAATTTGCTTCTCGGTGTCCCACACTCAACTCTTAACAGATTTGCCAATACCATCTGCCAACTTCCACCCTGACAACATTCATATGCTATTCTGTCAGCACCATGGAGTACCCTCAGTGCTAACTTGGGTCTGCTCTCCAGCCCTTTAACTGCCTCAGGGGACGAGTCTGTTTAGGTCCCCAAGCCATCACCCTCCTCTCGGCCTCCTTTGGTACTTTAGTCCTAATTGTATCACAAGATAAGACAGAAATGGAATGCATCCACACACATCAATCAGTAGTCTGATTTGAAGTCCATAAAACATTTACCACACAACCATAACTTCAAATGAGAGACAGTGAAAAGGTCATAGTCATAGCTGGCTCTGAGATTTGCAGCTGTCTCCCATAACACATATTGCAACTTAGGAGAGACAAGGCAATAAGTTTCTAATTTCAGGCTTGTCATTTAGGTCCAATTTTGTTTTTTGTTTTTTAAACTTTTATTCCACTGTCGCTTTTAAATGTTAATAGGCATATGAGAGTGTATTAAAATTCTTGAAGTTTACTTAGATTTAAACAAGAATATAGCTTGTCACAGAATGTCTGGAAACATTTAGATGGCCCTTGATATTTCCATACCCTTGAATGCTATGACACTGAGACTTAGTTTGAAATTATTTCATGCAGGGTTTTGAAATGTATGTACACTTGTACATGATGCAACTCCTGGCTACTTCTCAGCCCATATGTTTTCTTTCCATATGGAACCAAATGAAGTAGTGCAAAAATACACAGCTATTTAATTCAAGATTATCCTCTCCATTAAATATGCTCATGAGATTGGCAGCCAGTACTACTCATTGTTCTGCTAAATAAGCTTCCATGACTTCAAACAACTACCATGTGTTATATTTTAACAAGTGTAGAGAACCAGCTTCTTTCAAGTTGGCAAGAGACATCTGTAAGGCATTTCTGGGTTGGTACCAACATAGGGAATGACACAAGTGACATCACCTCATCTTCAATATTCCCTCTCTTTCCAAACATACTTATCAAGAATTTAGTAAGGGTGTTTCCAGAATCAATGCCAGATATTTTTAATAGCTTATTTCCCATAAATTTGATCCTTTTGGCCTAAGTCTGGTCGACAATGAGAGAGCAGTCTGTGGTTAGGGAATATTTCTCTGTTTATCCCTTCAATATCAGAAAGTGTCTAAGCCTCTTTTGATGCAGATGTAGCTGCTCTGTGAGACAACTCACATTGTTTTTGCTGTCAGCTTTCCTGCTAAAGACATGCGTTTTCTTTGTGCTTCATTCAGTTGTCCTATTAGTTGCTACTTCTGGTTACTGCTTAGGAAACAGTGATAACAGATGCAAATGTGAAAATTTTGCCATTGTGCTAAGTCGCAAGTTAAAATTTTGGACATAATGTTTTTAGAAGGATTGTAAAATTGAAGCAATTTATAATATGAAAAAAAGATAATCTTTATAAACAGAGTAAACACTGAGTAATTAAAAATAATAATCCTACAAAATGTACAGTCATGGTGCTTCACTCTTCTGGTCTTCAATGGTTCTATTTAAAATTAAAAACAAGATATTCATGTATATAATAAATCATATAAAAATATATTTAGAAGAAAAATGAGAGCTCTATGTATTATAATACATAGAATATATGATTCTATTAGATGTTTTATCACCAATTTATGTTCTGAGAAGGGTAGAAATGAGTAAAAAGTCAGGTAGTGAACAAATTTAAAATCACTTTGAGCTATTCAGAAAAATATGCTAAGTAAATTGAAGTAAAACTTTATTAATGCTATAAGCCCAGATACTACAAAAAAATGCATATATAGACCTTTAGGTCCTGTTCATAGCTCATTAGTTAGTTCAACTTTCACAAATTACATATGTCATTTATTTGTCATGCCCTCTGATAATTTGAGCACATGCAGTTATCACTGTCCTCAGATAAATTATTCTTAGTGAGGATGCTGACAAGAGGAATGAGATTCTAACTGTCTCTGACAGTGAAGCCAATCGACAAACAGATTGCATAATACTTTATACTAGAATATCCTTACCAAGAGTGCTTGTGAAGCTTACTATAACATTGTAAAATTGAATATACTGGCTGATGTGGAGATAACCACTAAACATAAATGTATAACCCAATAGAAATCTCTAAAAAAGAGTGGGTGAGCCAGGAACATGACATATTCAATGTTATAGAAACATTTGCCTCATGCAAAAATATCCAGTGTTAAAGTGTTTTATTTAAGGTTCAGACTTCTATCAGTAGAAGAATTTATTTAAGGTTAAATTCTATCAGTAGAATTTAAGTAAATAAAGCTAGCAACCATTGATGATCACAATGTTTCAGGAAATCAGCTAGAGTTAAAGTATACTCTGAATGACCATGAAATAATCATGAATGAGGATTATGAAACTGAAGCATAACACAATATAGGGAAAATATAGTAAATGTAAGTGTGAGCTGTACATTTATTTAAATTTTTTTTAAAAACTAGATATGTAGGCTATCAGTGCCTTCCTACACTTACAATGCAAGAATTTAATAGCAATAAAAACAGATCATGCTTAGCATATCCACAGGCTTAAGGTAGGAGAAATTTATTTTACTGTTATCCTTATTTTCTTATTATAACAATCTATTTTTAAAATTTGTTATATGAACCTAACCAGCAAACACTGAAAAAAATTGATGTTTCTCATCAGGTTTACTTATGACCTGCAAAATAAAGTAAGCATATTAGAAAAATAAATTTCAAAATATTCATTGGCATAGTTCAAAAATGTGTACAAGCAGGTAATTTCATGGAAGATAGCATACTGTGCATGCTTTTAGATATTATCAATTAGATGTTTTATTTATAAGTCCCTGAAATCACTTAACATATAACACTGGGAATGCATTTACACTGTGCATTGTCATACTATTATGGCACCTTTGATCAGCTTTGCCATTTCAGACATTTGGTAGTTTTTATATTGATTCAGTCGTTAATCAGAGCATTTTTATTTCAGAATTAGCATATACCAAAACTGTTCTGAGTTATAATGCAAATATGTCCTATCAAAGACTAAATTAACATTTTACTGCTGTTAACCAGAGGCAATGTCTCGTAAAAAAATTAGATGACTATGCCAAAACTTTACATTCTGAGCTGTTTAAAATTACAAGATTTCTAATCCATGCTTACAGATGAAAAGGAGGAAGTGTACCTCCTCCTTTCCCTGCTGACAAAATAAAACACCAGGTTTCAAATCTCAAATGAGAGTTTTGATGTCTCATTAATGTAACTATATTTTTAGAAGCAAGGAAACAACTAACAAGATTATTTAATTCTTCAATAAAATTTATATAATTAGTAAGTTCATGTTTACATTAAGGAAGAGCAAATGTAAAGAAATATTAACATTATATTTCTAATCCTCATGCAAATTTATTGATTATGTTATATAATAGAAAAGTTCATTTCAAATAGTTTCCAATTTCATCACTGAAAGATTATAATTGGCTGAAAAGAAAAGCAAAAGTGTATTCATCTTTGTGAGTGTAATTTGGTAAACGTTTTATTTAGCAACTTTCCACAGGCAATAGTTATGCATTAGTGTTCACCCACAGAAATTCTGGTTCCTAACCTTTAAGGGTTTACACAGCAAATGTTATATTTTTCTGTGTGTAGATAAATTCATAAATCAATGTGTACAGCTCATATTGCCTGAATCTTTATAGCAAATTTTAATCAGCTAAACACAAACAAATTTTGCCACACTTCATCCACCGCTATGATGAGATCAGAATACAGCAGATGTAGCTGCATGACAAAGAAATACTGCAATTAATGTCAGGCAGATTCTGGGTAAAACACGTCATGAAATTGTGACTAACATTTTATCTCGATCATTCAATCATGTTTTTGCACTGTAAAATAGAGTGAGAAGATAATTTTCCTATTCATATGAGAATAGTTTCAGATATAATAAATAGATATTTTGTCAAGTTTCCACAAAGTTTTGTTGCTTTGGAAACCTGAGTGGAGATATATATTTAGGCCATAAGAATGGAGGAAGAGAAGAGAAGAAAGAAAGACTAGAGATTACATCATCTTGTCTTGTGAAGTTAAGAGTATGTACCTGGTTGTGTCCATTCAATAACACAGTTCAGAAAATGTTCTACATTGGTCAGGATCTCGACTAAAACAAAATTAGAAGATTGTTGGCAAGGCAGTTTGGAAGAGAGGTATGAGGATAAACATTTTCGAATGGACACAGAGTGTAAGGATCATCTGTATGCCTACAAGGGGCTAACACTAAGGCCCGTATGACACTATTTCCTGGATGGAAGGGAGACAGCATGCCACCAGGTGCAGGTTGGTGATGGCAAGCTGATTACATAGAATGGTTTCTATCTTGGAGGGTTGGAGGGGGTAGGGGTTGTACTCAAGGAAATACATATGTTACTAGAATATGAATTTTCCTTTTGTGACTCAGTGCTCATGCTATTATCACTATTTTGGACTTACAGAGTGCCTAGTCTATCACACAATATTGTCTTTGACTAAAGGATATATTTTATATGAAAGAGGTACATCTATGGGTTAATACTCGAAGTATTCAATTGTTTACCATGTGCAAGTTCCCATAGAATGATGAGGCATAATGGTAAGGACTCATTCACAAAGTACACTGGGAGAAAACATTCTAAAAGGCTGAAGTGCTGTGCTACAGGGTACATATTAAGCCTTAAATCAATGGTCAATATGTATTGCCATTTCCCACATAGCCAGATTACACAGGTACACCAACAAAAAGGGTAGAAGTATATTGGGCCCCTTCACATTTATAGCCAATAATAATAACACACTTAAGGACTTTATTTTCTTACAACTCTAGGGACAATATACTCGAAACTTGTAGGACTAAGAGATAAGTGCTTCTACAGGGCAAACAGTTGGTTTCAATGAAATGAAAATTGAGTCACCTGGCAATTTTGTTATCTAAATATCACTGAATCAAAGAGAAGTGAGTCAGTGATCCTAATTAAAACTTATAATACAAAATGGGGGCAAGGAGGAGGTGTGTCAGAATCAGTGTTGACTGCATTGACACGTAGTATTCCCATGCTTGATGTATTAGCCCATTTTCACACTGCTATAAAAAAAATACCCAAGACTGGGTAATTTATAAAGGAAAGAGATTTAATTGACTAACAGTTCCACATGGCTGGGGAGGCCTCAGGAAACTTGTAATCAATGCAGAAGGGAAAGCAGGCACCTTCTTCACAAGGTGGCAGAAGGGAGCATGTGAAAGAGGAACTGTCAAACACTTATGAAACCAACAGAACTCAAGAGAACTCACTCACTATTATGAAAACAGCATGGGAGAAACCATCCCCATGATCCAATTACCTCCTTCCCTCGACATGTGGGGATTGCAGGTCCCCCCTTGGCATATCAGGATTACAATTAAGATGAGATTTGGGTGAGAACACAGAGCCAAACCGTATCACTTGATAACACTATTCATGGAAAACTGTGGAAACTCAAGACAAAACTACTGAAGATTTGTATTTTTCTATTTTGAGAACACAGTTTTTTTTTCAACCAAAGGTATAGAGTGGTTGCTATATTGTAGTATATAGTCTTCGTTTGAACCTCTAGGTGTATTCTCTATCCTTCGCTGTCTTTCTCTTTGAATGAGAGAAACTGTTTCCTAGAGTTTCCATTTGAGTTAAATTAAATGGAGTCTGGCAAAAAAAGATAGTGGCTTGGTATTGATTTCCTTTGTTTCCTGCCATTCAGTCCACAATTCAGTAGGTTCTGCATTCTTCTACTAGAGCCATAGCTTCTGTCTGGGCCTCATTCTCAAGGAAATAGCCTTCACTGGGTTCCAGCAAGGGTCCCTTCCCTTGTCCATTTAGGCCAAAACATGATGATAATTTCCCACTGTTGCTTGGTCCCAGAGGCTTTAAACTCTTTTCATTTTTGTTGCCTACTCCTCTATAAATTATCTTCTTAAAACTCTCTTCATATATCCCACTAAGCCTTTTCTTCTGTTCCTAGTCAGGTTTCTGACTAGGGGTTAACATAGTAAATGGCCCAAGAAAAAATGATACATTTTCGGTAATTAAGAGTATTTTAAGAAAATCATAGAGAAAAAAAATGGAAGAGAGGAATGAGAGAGAGGGGGCCCAGAATTGAATAATAGAGTCTAATAAACCAAAAAAGGAGCTTGAAAAACTAATGTATTTTTAAAACCCTGTGACATCAACCACAACATTAAACACAAAACATTAAGCCCAACTTAATAACATTTTAGAGCGTTGTTTGGATTATAAGACAAAGAATGTGTCTTCTATATAAGAGGGATCTGCTGCTATTTTTTGGCTGTCTGCCCTAGAGTTATTTTGTACTCTTTCATTGCCAAATTGTTTAGAGATAAAATCAATAAATGCATTGACTCCTAATGAGCTCAGTTCTAAACTTTGGAATATCAGTACTTTGGAGTAGTTTTACTCTTGGATGGATCACTAGAGATAAAATATCTGATTAGCAAAACTGCTATGGTTTTCGTATATCCCCTAAAGTTCATGTGTTGCATTCTAATTGACGTAGTAAGTATTGGAAGATGGGAACTTTAAGAGGTAATTAGGTAATATGGAATCTGTATTCAGGACAGATTAATGTTATGAACACACAGGAGTAAGTTGGTTATTGTGGGAGTGGGAAACTGATGAAAGGGGGAGGTCTAGCCCTCAGTTTCCCTCTCTCACATGCCTACTACTGCATTATACCTTCCACCATGAGACGACCCTTGCTAGATGCTGGTATCATGCTTTAGAATCCCAACCTTCAGAACTGCCAGCCAAACCAGAGCCATGGGAGCGAAGCCAATGCAGAGAGACCCTACTAGGTTAATGCCTAGTGAAAATGTGGATTTGAAGTTTCCAGAGAGATTCCCCAGTAGGGCAATGCCTAGTGAAGCTGTGGCAGTGAGACAGCCCCTAGGAACCCAGAGCCAGTATGTAACTCCAACCCGAGAGAGCTGAAGCATGAACTGAGCCCAGGAAAACCACAGGAGTGGGGCTGTCTGAGGCACTGGGAGCCCATTCTGCCCAGTGTGCCTAGGTTGTGGGACAGGAAGTTAAAGGAGATAATTCCCCAGCTTTAAAACTTAATGTTGTTTTTCCTTTTGGATTTTGGACTTACTTGGGGATGGTTGTCCTTTTCTTGTTGCCCATTTCTCCCTTTTCAGAATGTCTATCCTATGCCTGTCCCACCATTGTATTTTGAAAGTAGGTAATTTGATTTGATTTTTTGGACTCACCATTGGAGGAATCTGCCTCATTACAAATTATGCTTTGAGTTTCACCCAGATCAAATCTAGATGAGGCTCTAGACTTTGGATTTTGAGTTGATGGTCGAACAAGTTAAGACTTATGAAAATATTATGATAGAATGATTGTGTTTTGCATTGTGAAAAAGATATAAATCTGGAGGGCAAGGAGGTAATGCTATGGTTTGAATACATCCCTCAAGATTCATGTGTGGGAAATGTAATAGCTATAGTCACAGTGTTGGTAGGTGGGATCTTTAAGAGGTGATTAGAGCATGGGGGATCTGCCCTCATGAATTATTCAATACCATTATCTCAGGAGTGGTTAGTTATTGCAAGAGTGGGCTCCTGGTAAACAGGGAAAATTTGGTCCCCATTTTCTCTATGACTTATTTGCTTGCATCTGCCTTCTGCCTTCCATGATAGGGTCACACTCACCAGATGCCAGTGCCATGCTCTTGGACTTCCCAACCCCCAGAACTGTGAGAAATAAATGTCCCTTTTAAATAAATTACTCAGCCTGTGGTATTCCATTATAGCAGCAGAAAACACACTAAGAAAATACCCTACTTTGAAAAAAGTTGTCATACCAAAAATGCATCTACTGCCATATTTGCTATATTACCTTTTACCTTAGGACAATTATTCTCTTTCTAAGAATACACTCTTAAGTTATTTCCATGATTAAAGTCCATGAAACTTGAAAATTTTATATAACAGAAATATTGTGAGCAGGAAGGCTAGAGTATCAATGAAAAAATAAATTTGGGTAATTTTAGACATTAAGGGGATCTGGCATCATGAAAAGGTCAGTACTACATAATAACAGAACTGATTTCCTCATCAGGGTGAATATAGATTTTCAAATTATTATACATTTAAGTTCAAATAGGACATGTGAAACATGGAATGTTAATTATAAGAATTGTTATTTATAACTTTAAAGTTAAAACATAAGTCAATATTTTATGTATATATGTGTATGTGGTTTTATAGCTTTATTTTTATATTTTTAATTGAGATATAAAATAAGTGAAATGAATATCTTTTATTGATGTAGTTCTAGATCACTGAAAAACAATAAGAGTCACCACCACCACAATCAGGAGAGAGACTGAAAACAGTTTATCTCCTTTATTTTTGAATTTTTAGGATGTATTTTTAATTTATTATGATTTTTATTTTTAAATCAATTTTGATTTTTATCCCTTTATTTTTAAATTTATTATGTTTTTTTCTTATCAGATTTGTCGAACATTGTCAAGTACCTTTTCTGTACCTATTGAAATGATCATGTATTTCAAAAAAATTGTAATATTTAATTTGTGAATAATATGCATTGATTTTAAATTATTCAATCAAATTTGCATTCTTAGATAAACCCAGCCTGGTCCTGTTATAATATACATTTATATACGATTAGGTTTGATTTGTTAATATTTTGTTAAAAATTTTGCCTCTGTGTTTATTATAATGGATATTAATCTCTAGTATTATTTTCTTTGTTTGGGGATCAGAAAAAGTTTAGATCAGTAATTTGAGAACTTTCTTTTAAGCTATCTATTAATATATTCAAAGTGAGTTTCTTGTAGATAGCCATGATTGTTTTGTTCTGTTACTCCATTCTAACAATGTCTGTAATTTCTGGGTTGACAGATTGTCTTTAAGAATTGTATTAGCCCGTTTTCATGCTGCTGATAAAGACATACCTGAGACTGGGTAATTTATAAAGAAAAAGAGATTTACTGGACTCACAGTTCCACGTGGCTGGGGAGGCCTCACAATCATGGCAGAAGCTGAAAGGCATGTCTTACATGGCAGCAGAAAAGAAAGGATGAGAACCAAGTGAAAGGGGTTTCCCTTTATAAAACCATCAGATGTCATGAGACTTATTCACTACTAAGAGAACACTATGGTTGAAACTGCCCCCCATAATTCAGTTATCTCCCACCAGGTCCCATCCACAACATGTGGGAATTATGGAAGTTACAATCATTCAAGATGAGATTTGGGTGGAGACATAGCCAAACCATATCAAGCACTTTAAAAATATTTTGCCACTTCCTTCTATTCTCTGGGATTTCTGATAAGAAATCAACTGTCCTTCAAACATTTTTTTCCCTATAGTTGATGCATCATTTCCTTCTGGCTGCTTTTAAATGCCATCTTGAAAATGTTTCACCAGTTTTATTATCATGTACCAGAGCATAGATTTCTTTGAATGTTATTTTGTTTGGGGTTCAGTTAGATTCTTGAATCTGTATGTCTTATGTCTTTCACCAAATTGGGAAGTTTACAAACAATTCTTCAAAACTTTTTTTTTTTTTTGACATTGCAGTCTTTTTTCCTCTCTTTATGGTATTCTACTGTCATGAATGTTAGATATTTTGTTAAAGTCCCACAGGTCCCAAATTGTGCTCTTTCTTTTTTCTCTCTGTTTTTCAGGTTTCATAATTTCTCTTTATTTATCTTCAAATTCACTGCCTTTGTTTTCAAATCTCAATTCTGCTATTCAGTTATCCAGCTATTAAGAATTTTCCTTTTATATTTTTAAAAATGCTATTCGTATCTTCTATTTCTTTGCTAAGTCTTTCATATATTCATTTACCCAAGAATGTTTGTAATTGTGCATGCTGGTGCATTTTTAGATGTGAGTTAAAACCTTTGCCAGATAATTCTCACATCTACATCATATTGGTATATGCTTCTGTTACTTATTTTTTCTGATGCAAGTTGGGATTTTCTTATTTATACATATGTAATTTTAAATTATATCCTGAATAGTTTTAATTTTATATAACTAGACTCTAGGTCATGTTTGAATCATCTAGAGAACAATGATATTTTTCCTTTATCAAGTAATCAACTAGATTGGTATTAGAAAGTAAGTTCTAAGCAGCTTCCCATGGGTTGTGGTTCTAGGATTTACCTGGTTTTCAAAGCCTTTACAATACTATTTCTATCTGTCTCATGTATGTATTACCCTCTTATCCATTGTCCTGACTGAAATTCTGGCATTGGTCTATCTTTAGTTCAATTTTTAAAGTCTATGCTCCTGTTTTTGATTATTGTAACTATATTTTAAATGATACAAATGTCTGGAAAACAATTTGACACTAGGCATTAATAATATTAAAATAATTTATGTATCTTGAACCAATTATTTGCTTAAAAATATATTCTAAAGAAATAAGCAAAGCAATGATCAAATATTTATGAGCAAAGTTCTCCTTTTTCACATAATGCATAAGAGTCAAACTTTCACCATATACAAATGTTCCATAATGGGGAACTTAGGCTATTATTATCAATGCAAACTTCTAATAACAAGAAATAGAGCTATCATATTGTTGAAAAGGTATATGTGGCATTACAGTAAGTTGTGAGGATCACTAAAACATACAAAATACTAGACCTCTTCTTTAACAGTTAATTAGAAAGATTATACAAATAAATGTAACATTCAAACAATAAAATATAAAGTGAAAATGAGGTGTTAAAATAACATTATTTATAGAGAATTTTACAGCAATTAGATCTTAAATTTTTTGAAGTACTGTGAGAATAATTATCAACTTATATATCAGATTTTTTTATATTCCACATTACATTACATTATATACCACATTACATAAAAAAGTAAACATTTCTGGGAGTTACTTTACCAAAACATACAATTAATAATCTTTCATTTTACAAATACATGGGAGGGAAATAAATCCCTGTAGGTCACATATAACTGGCATTTGAAAAGACTTTATAACTTGGAGTAGTTCAAAACAAATAATTAAAAACATCGGGGGGGGGGGGGGGTTGGAGCCAAGACGACCAAATAGGAACAGCTCCCATCTACAGCTCCCAGCATGAGTGATGCAGAAGATGGGTGATTTCTGCATTTCCATCTGAGGTACCAGGTGCATCTCACTAGGGAGTGCCAGACAGGGGGTGCAGGGCAGTGGGTGCAGCACACCCTGCGCAAGCCGAAGCAGGGCAAGGCATTGCCTCACTCGGGAAGTGCAAGGGGTCAGGGAGTTCCCTTTCCTACTCAAAGAAAGGGGTGACAGATGGCACCTGGAAAATCGAGTCACTCCCACCCTAATACTGCGCTTTTCCAACGGGTTTAAAAAATGGCACACCAGGAGATTATATCCTGCACCTGGCTCGGAGGGTCCTAGGCCCACGGAGTCTCACTGATTGCTAGCACAGCAGTCTGGGATCAAACTGCAAGGCCACAGCGAGGCTGGGGGAGGGGCGCCCACCATCGCCCAGGCTTGATTAGGTAAACAAAGCAGCCGGGAAGCTCAAACTGGGTGGAGCCCACCACAGCTCAAGGAGGCCTTCCTGCCTCTGTAGGCTCCACCTCTTGGGGCAGGGCACAGACAAACAAAAAAAGACAGCAGTAACCTCTGCAGACTTAAATGTCCCTGTCTGACAGCTTTGAAGAGAGTAGTGGTTCTCCCAGCAGGCAGCTGGAGATCTGAGAACGGTCAGACTGCCTCCTCAAGTGGGTCCCTGAACCCCGAGTAGCCTAACTGGGAGGCACCCCCCAGTAGGGGCAGACTGACACCTCACACAGCCAGGTACTCCTCTGAGACAAAACTTCCAGAGGAACGATCAGGCAGCAGCATTTGCAGTTCACCAATATCCGCTGTTCTACAGCCACCACTCTTCTGCAGCCACCGCTGTTGATACCCAGGCAAACAGGGTCTGGAGTGGACCTCTAGCAAACTCCAACAGACCTGCAACTGAGGGTCTTGTCTGTTAGAAGGAAAACTAACAAACAGAAAGGACATCCACACCAAAAACCCACCTGTACATCACCATCATCAAAGACCAAAAGTAGATAAAACCACAAAGATGGGGAAAAAACAGAGCAGAAAAACTGGAAACTCTAAAAAGCAGAGTGCCTCTCCTCCACCAAAGGAATGCAGCTCCTCACCAGCAATGGAACAAAGCTGGATGGAGAACGACTTACAAGCCAGAAGAGAGTGGGGGCCAATATTCAACATTCTTAAAGAAATTTCAACCCAGAATTTCATATTCAGCCAAACTAAGCTTCATAAGTGAAGGAGAAGTAAAATCCTTTACAGACAAGCAAATGGTGAGAGATTTCGCCACCACCAGGCCTGAGCTAAAAGAGTTCCTGAAGGAAGCACTAAACATGGAAAGGAACAACCAGTGCCAGCCACTGCAAAAACATGCCAAAATGCAAAGACCATAAAGGCTAGGAAGAAACTGCATCAACTAATGAGCAAAATAACCAGATAACATCATGACAGGACCAAATTCACACATAACAATATTAACTTTAAATGTAAATGGGCTAAATGCTCCAGTTAAAAGACACAGACTGGCAAATTGGATAAAGAGTCAAGACCCATCAGTGTATTGTATTCAGGAAACCCATCTCACGTGCAGAGACACACATAGGCTCAAAATAAAGGGATGGAGGAAGATCTACCAAGCAAATGGAAAACAAAAAAAGGCAGGGGTTGCAATCCTACTCTCCGATAAAACACTTTAAACCAACAAAGATCAAAAGAGACAAAGAAGGCCATTACATACTGTTAAAGGGATCAATTCAACAAGAAGAGCTAACTATCCTAAATACATATGCACCCAATACAGGAGCACCCAGATTCATAAAGCAAGTCCTGAGTGACCTACAAAGAGACTTAGACTTCCACACAATAATAATGGGAGACTTTAACACCCCACTGTCAACATTAGACAGATCAACAAGACAGAAAGTCAACAAGGATACCCAGGAATTGAACTCAGCTCTGCACCAAGCGGACCTAATAGACATCTACAGAACTCTCCACCGCAAATCAACAGATTATACATTTTTTTCAGCACCACACCACACCTATCCCAAAATTGACCACATAGTTGGAAGTAAAGCAGTCCTCAGCAAATGTAAAAGAACAGAAATTATAACAAACTGTGTCTCAGACCACAGTGCAATCAAACTAGAACTCAGGATTAAGAAACTCACTCAAAACCACTCAACTACATGGAAACTGAACAACCTGCTCCTGAATGACTACTGGGTACATAACGAAATGAAGGCAGAAATAAAGACGTTCTTTGACACCAACGAGAATAAAGACACAACATACCAGAATCTCTGGGACACATTCAAAGCAGTGTGTAGAGGGAAATTTATAGCACTAAATGCCCACAAGAGAAAGTAGGAAAGATCCAAAATTGACACCCTAACATCACAATTAAAAGAACTAGAAAAGCAAGAGCAAACACATTCAAAAGCTAGCAGAAGGCAAGAAATAACTAAAATGAGAGCAGAACTAAAGGAAATAGAGACACAAAAAACCCTTCAAAAAATTATTGAATCCAGGAGCTGGATTTTTGAAAAGATAAACAAAATTGATAGACCACTAGCAAGACTAATAAAGAAGAAAAGAGAGAAGAATCAATACATGCAATAAAAAATGATAAAGGGGATATCACCACTGATCCCACAGAAATACAAACTACCATCAGAGAATACTACAAACATCTCTATGCAAATAAACTAGAAAATCTAGAAGAAATGGATAAATTCCTCGACACACCCTCCTAAGACTAAACCAGGAAGAAGCTGAATCTCTGAATAGACCAATAACAGGCTCTGAAATTGTGGAAATAATCAATAGCTTACCAACCAAAAAAAGTCCAGGACCAGATGGATTCACAGCCGAATTCTACCAGAGGTACAAGGAGGAGCTGGTACCATTCCTTCTGAAACTATTCCAATCAATAAAAAAAGAGGGAATCCTCCCTAACTCATTTTATGAGGCCAGCATCATCCTGATACCAAAGCCGGGCAGAGACACAACCAAAAAAGAGAATTTTAGACCAATATCCTTGATGAATATTGATGCAAAAATCCTCAATAAAATACTGGCAAACCGAATCCATCAGCACATCAAAAAGCTTATCCACCATGATCAAGTGGGCTTCATCCCTGGGATGCAAGGCTGGTTCAACATACGCAAATCAGTAAATGTAATCCAGCATATAAAGAGAACCAATGACAAAAACCACATGATTATCTCAATAGATGCAGAAAAGACCTTTGACAAAATTCAACAACCCTTCATGCTAAAAACTCTCAATAAATTAGGTATTGATGGGACGTATCTCAAAATAATAAGAGCTATCTATGACAAACCCACAGCCAATATCATACTGAATGGGCAAAAACTGGAAGCATTCCCTTTGAAAACTGGCACAAGACAGGGATGCCCTCACTCACCACTCCTATTCAACACAGTGTTGGAAGTTCTCGCCATGGCAATTAGGCAGGAGAAGGAAATAAAGGGTATTCAATTAGGAAAAGAGAAAGTCAAATTGTCCCTGTTTGCAGATGACAAGATTGTATATTTAGAAAACCCCACTGTCTCAGCCCAAAATCTCCTTAAGCTGATAAGCAACTTCAGCAAAGTCTCAGGATACAAAATCCATGTGCAAAAATCACAAGCATTCTTATACACCAATAACAGACAGAGAGCCAAATCATGAGTGAACTCCCATTCACAATTGCTTCAAAGAGAATAAAATACCTAGGAATCCAACTTACAAGGGATGTGAAGGACCTCTTCAAGGAGAACTACAAACCACTGCTCAATGAAATAAAAGAGGATACAGACAAATGGAAGAACATTCCATGCTCATGGGTAGGAAGAATCAGTATCATGGAAATGACCATACTGCCCAAGGTAATTTATAGATTCAAAGCCATCCCCATCAAGCTACCAATGGCTTCCAATGACTTTCTTCACAGAATTGGAAAAAACTACTTTAAAGTTCATATGGAACCAAAAACTAGCCCGCATCACCAAGTCAATCCTAAGCCAAAAGAACAAAGCCGGAGGCATCACGCTACCTCACTTCAAACTATATTACAAGGCTACAGTAACCAAAACAGCATGGTACTGGTACCAAAACAGAGATATAGATCAATGGAACAGAACAGAGCCCTCAGAAATAATGCCACATATCTACAACCATCTGATCTTTGACAAACCTGACAAAAACAAGCAATGGGGAAAGGATTCCCTATTTGATAAATGGTGCTGGGAAAACTGGCTAGCCATATGTAGAAAGCTGAAACTGGATCCCTTCCTTACACCTTATACAAAAAATTAATTCAAGATGGATTAAGACTTGCATGTTAGACCTAAAACCATAAAAACCCTAGAAGAAAACTTAGGCAATACCATTCAGGACATAGGCATGGGCAAGGACTTCATGTCTAAAACACCAAAAGCAATAGCAACAAAAGCCAAAATTGACAAATGGGATCTAATTAAAGAGCTTCTGCACAGCAAAAGAAACCACTATCAGAGTGAATGGGCAACCTACAAAACGGGAGAAAATTTTCGCAACCTACTCATCTGACAAAGGGCTAATATCCAGAATCTACAATGAACTCCAACAAATTTACAAGAAAAAAACAAACAACCCCATCAACAAGTGGGCGAAGGACATGAACAGACACTTCTCAAAAGAAGACATTTATGCAGCCAAAAAACACATGAAAAAATGCTCATCATCACTGGCCATCAGAGAAATGCAAATCAAAATCACAATGAGATACCATTTCACACCAGTTAGAACGGCGATCATTAAAAAGTCAGGAAACAACAGGTGCTGGAGAGGATGTGGAGAAATAGGAACACTTTTACACTGTTGGTGGGACTGGAAACTAGTTCAACCATTGTGGAAGTCAGTGTGGCAATTCTTCAGGGATCTAGAACTAGAAATACCATTTAACCCAGCCATCCCATTACTGGGTATATACCCAAAGGATTATAAATCATGCTGCTATAAAGACACATGCACACATATGTTTATTGCAGTACTATTCACAATAGCAAAGACTTGGAACCAACCCAAATGTCCAACAACAATAGACTGAATTAAGACAATGTGGCACATATACACCATGGAATACTATGCAGCCATAAAAAATGATGAGTTCATGTCCTTTGTAGGGACATGGATGAAGCTGGAAACCATCATTCTCAGCAAACTATCACAAGGTCAAAAAACCAAACACCACATGTTCTCACTCATAGGTGGGAACTGAACAATGAGAACACATGGACACAAGAGGGGAACATCACACTCCGGGCACTGTTGTGGGGTGTGGGGAGGGGGGAGGCACAGCATTTGGAGATATACCTAATGCTAAATGACGAGTTAATGGGTGCAGCACACCAACATGGCACATGTATACGTATGTAACAAACCTGCACATTGTGCACATGTACCCTGAAACTTAAAGTATAATAATAATAAAATTAAAAAAACCACATCATAGATATCCAAGTTCTAAAGTGTTTTCAAATGCCAGTTATACATGGCCTATAGGGTTTTATTTCCCTCCCATGAACTTGTAAAATGAAGGATTATTAATTGTATTTCTTGGTAAAGTGATTCACAGCAATGTTTATTTTTGTCATTATTGCTATTATTATTAATATAATAATTATCTGTTCCATGGTACATTCCTATGGATTCAGGAAACATAGCTAAGAAGTGCATTTATCTATTATGACTAGAGACAAGAAATAACTAAAAAGATATCTGTTTGCTTATGTGTTCTACATAATAAATGTCTTCATATGGGCAGGCTGGGGCTCATGTAGGGTCCACTGTTATTGGGTTCCATTTATCTCTTACATTGTTTTAAAACTTTTAATTGACAGGTACAATTCTATGTGTTTATCATGTGCAATGTGATGTTTGGAAGTATACTTACATTATGAGATGACTAAATTTAGCCAATGAATATGTGCATTACCTTCCCTGGTTATCAATTTTGTGGTGAGAACGTTCCTTCACTCCTTTAGCATTTTTCAAGGATACAATATATTGTTATTAACTATAGCCACCATGTGGTACAATAGGAATACAATATGTATTCCTTATATTTAACTGAAATTTTGTACTCTTTAACTAACATCTCCCCAACTCCCCCACAGCCCTAGCTGCCCCAGCCCCTGGTAATCACCATTCTGCTCTTTAGTTCTATGAAATTAACATTTTGCTTAGATTCCAGATGTGAATGAGACTGTGTGGTGTTTGTCTTTCTGTGCCTGGCTTATTTCATTTAATATAATGCCCTGCAGGTTCATCTGTGTCATTGCAGATGTGTCCCATTTATCTTTATGCTCCACGTCTTTGTCATTTATCTTCACAAACCCCCACAGTCTAAGACAGCAGAGGCAGTTCCAACCACCACATATACATTGACTACCAAAAAGCAGAATAAAGACTTGTTTAAAAAGCCATTCCATTGGAATGGCGCTGGCCCTTCTCTCAGGACTGACTGACACACGTTCAACTGCTGTTCACATGGAACCCTTCTCCACTTCGGCCTTCAAAGTTCTCATTAAAAAGTATGAACAATGCATTTCAGTTGACTATATTGCATACTTTTTTGCTGAAGACTTTTTCTGTAAACACAATTGCCTTGTTCAGCTTTGTTGTAAACTGACTTACCATAAGATGCACTGTTGATATGCTTTCTGATGTGTGTTTGATAAGAGTGATAAAATAAAAGCCTTAAAAAAAAGCCATTCCAAAGCCTTTTTGTCCCTATTTGAGGGGTTCTCTGTTATTCCCCCAAATCATTTTTGCTTGTACCATCAGCCAGAACCTTTTTACATGGGCAGTTGTGAATAGTTAGCTGCAATATAGGCAGGGATATGTAGACCTTAACTGAGCTTTTGTATTGTTCTCTTCATTCTTCCTTCCTTTTATTCCCGTTTCTTTTTTCTTTCATTTTTGCTTCTAAGAAAAAAAGAGAGAATGAGTATTGAAACTGCAACTAGCAGTCTCTGCTACAACTCTATTGATTGCCAGGGTCTAGTAACTGAACCAAGCCTAGGCACTCTCTAACGAGATTACCATTTTTCTGGATGCAAAACTATCATTAGGTCAATTGAAGACATATGTATGATATTCATTATATACATTTATCTCTAACATTACTAGTATAATTTTAAAGAATTATACTAGTATAATTGTACTAGTATATTATACTAGTATATATGTAGAATTATACTAGTATAAATTATACTAGTATAAATGTTATAATTACGTAACAATTTTAAAGAATTATTCTATTTGTTGATGAGTAAAATGCAGGGGGAAGAAGCCGCATCTAATTAATTAGTTTGAATTAGGCTACTCCTATATCAATTCAATGAGAAATCAAATGCTTCATTTAGATAATATCAACTATAATCCAATTCAAAAGCCTCTTTTGAATACTTAATTGCTCTTTAAAAAAGTAAAGAAAACCTAAACTAACCAAGAAACGATAATATACAAAATCGTGGCATCCTTCAAAAATGCCAGATTATCTATTCAGACAATATTGATTACATATTGTGGTGGGCAATGCTGCTTGCTGCATTACAATCATTCCTTGTATTCCTTAATGGATCACACTTGCATTTGGCTTTAGGAATCTGTAAACTTCAAGAGAGATTGGCAACTTCCAAACCTCAGGGATAAACATTTATTAATCTAAGCCAGTCATGTAATATTAATCCTACTCTAATTACTGGTGATTAAGTTAGGATTGGACAGGTGACAAGATTTTTACTAATTAGTACTGTGGGATATATCTGTTACAAGCATTCTTGTAAATCTTTAATAATTTAAAAAATGGAGAGAAGGAACTATTGTACTTGTTTTTCAATTTCTGGTTACCCAACCCCTTACCCCAAGGGGATAATTCTTGGAGTTTCATGAAGCCAACTTGTCATTATGAGGGAACAAGTTTGGAAGTAGTCTCCAACTGACATCTCTTATTCATAGGACTTTGGGCTTCAGCTTCAAGTATCTTACTCTCCAAGACTACAATTATCCAAACAATGATTTAATATTCTGCTAGGAAAAAATGTATATAACTTTCCCTCTCTGTAAATAATTATGTTCATTTCTGGACATTTAAACGAGAAACAGATTTAGATTTCCTTAAGGGTTATGTCTGTTCTTTCCAGTCTAACCTTGTTAAAACTAGAAATCGTAGCATAAAGCTTGCCTTGGGAATTAAATGCAAGCTCTCTGAATTTTCCCAGCAACTTGGTTAGAGAGTAACCTGCAGAAAATCATCTATAGAAAAACTGTTTTCCAATCAACATTATAAAGAAATATAAAGCAAAATAAAAATACTACAAATTTTTCACAATTTCAGAAAAAAAGCCTCTTTTATAATTATTAAAAATTCTGCAAAAGCATATGTCAATAGATTTAAATTTTAAAATCCCAGGTTTTTATTGAACATATATGTGACCTCCTGAATTTTGATTTTTACAGTAGAGCTCTGGGTGACATTGGACAGCCTTAAATTCATAATATAAAAGAAGAAAATGAAATTAATTTTCTTATCTTCCAGGTTTCGGTTTAGCAAAGATTCACCACTTTACAGTTCATTAAACAAGGAATATTTTTAAAAATATACAAAATAATGCATCAATGACCTGAAATGCAAAACTAATGAAGTCATACATGTGAATCTAATACAAAAATATCATTTTATGCAAATGTTGCATAATCTTATAGTTACTTAAAATTAGCCTTACAATACTTGTCTCAGAATTTCTGTTGCCATTGTAAAGGTCAATCACATTTAGATGAAGAAAGATATTTGTGCTTTATTCATTATGTGCAGGATTTATCTAAGTGACATTTTGAAAATACTTTATGAATAGACCTTTAATAATTTCTAACACTTTAATAATTGCCCCTTTCCTCGTTGTTAGCGGAATTTACACATGAAAATGAAGCATTGATTAATGAGCTTTTTCTATAACAAGAAATATTATCAAGGATTCTTCTCTACAAGCATTTCTCAATAAGAAGTCATCAGTTCTATAGATAATAATTACCTAACTGACCACAAAGAATATAATCCAATAACCCAATGATTAAGATAACTCAAGTTTCTGTAACCTAGCTTCTCAGAACTTTATTTTCCTTCTGTTAGTTAGGGTAAACAATCCTAGCTGCTAGATAAAGCCCAGAGATTCAGTTACTTTTATTTAGAAATAAAATTTATGTCTTAATTCCATAAGCATCCATTGAAGGTTGTTTCTGTGTGTGTGTGTGTGTGTGTGTGTGTGTGTGTGTGTGTGTGAGAGAGAGAGAGAGAGAGAGAGAGAAGAAAGAAGAAAGTAAAGTAGCTATGGAGCTATGGAGCAGGTGGGAACATTATGTCTTCGTACTCATTCAGAGGGCCAGCTTCCATTGGACATTTATTTATACGTGGCTTTAAGGTTTTCCTACCATTATCAAGAATAAAGAAGGGCAAAAAGAGAGGATAAAGAAGGCAGGCATATCTGCTCTCCATTGTTCTGAAATGCAATTGATCTAGATCACTTACCTTAAATTTTTGGGGGGATACCTATTCATTTGGCATCAGCTAGATGCAAAAGGGCTAGGACACATGGTTTAATTTTGTGCTCAAATGAAAAGAAAACGGATTTGTTGATAATTGTGATGGTAATGCCAAGTCCCTCATCCAAATATTGTAGTAATGATAGCCTTAATATTTGTCAAGCAGTGTCTGGAACATCATAGACCATTTATTTATTCATGTTAGTTTTTATCTCTGTCTCAGTAAAAAGAAATGCCTGCCAAATAGCCTTTGTTAATGTTTCTTCTATTTTAGGGTAAGTTGAAATCCATGAAAAACCTTTTTTTAATTAAAGAAGTTAGTAATGACTTGCACTTACTAAAATATTTAGTTTTAGCAAAATATAAATTTTTAATAGTTCCTTGTTTATAGCTTAGTTAATAAAATTGTTTAAATAACTTTTTATCTTAAGGACACATTAAATATATTATCAGCTCTTTTAACCACAGTATAATGTGACCTACAGAGATAACTTATCCTCACAGCTAGTTCTCTAGATTATTATTTTATAATTTTCAGTATTTTATTTTGAAAATTATTCTGTTCTTAAAAGGTTTTTTTTTTTTTTAAATAGTTGGTGATTCATGTTAGCACCTAAGCTTACGCTGCATAACTGAAAAAAAAAAAAAAAGACACTCTGAATCATTTGAGACTTTCAACATCTTCACACTTCCCTTCTCCCTGGGATCTTGGACCTAAATCTCTTAGCTGCTTTCATAGACCCAAACTCTAATTTTTATGTCTCTATTCACATAGATTGCAAAAAGCTCCACTGCCTTTTGCTTAACTTCTCAGTTTGATGCCCTACCATAATTAAAATCATCAAATGATCCAAGGGCAAAAGTGATGGCAATATGTCATGCTTCACGCACCACACCCACATTCACAAGCGTGCGCGCGCGCGCGCACACACACACACACACACACACACACACACACACACACACACTTGCATTTTCTCAAGGATCCTTTCTCATCAAGCCAGGGCTGCCTCAGCAGCTCTTCTGTGACTTCAAAGGATTTTTAAAATTCTGTTTGTGACAGAAGTGTTGATCTTCTACAAGACATTCTGTCATATCCAGAAGGAAAATTCCTGTAGTTTTCAGTTGTACTTACTTATTTCATATCAAGAAAAGGATTTCATGCTTTATTGCCCATTTATGATTCTATCTCTATAAATTGTCAGTTCGCAATTGTATACCATTTTCTACTTGTTTAAATTTCTCTCATGATTTGCTGAACTTATTTATATATTTAAGAAAATCATATATTATGAATTTCACTTGACACATATATTTTCTCCCACAAAGTCCCCATAGAATACAGGCGACTTTTTTTCATATTTTAAATGTGTTTTTAGTTGAGTAGTTATTTTGAGATATCAAATTTATCCATATTGGCACTCAATGATTTATTCATATTTTAACCTAATTTATTAAATAAGAAGTTTAATTATTGAAGTTTTAGTCTTTCTTTTATTAAAGAGTCCATTATGGACTACAATTTCTTCTCAAAGTATGATCTAACTGCATTAAAATTTTTAAAGTGTTTTAGGTTTAACCATATAAAATTGCCATTTTTATAGGTCGAATGGTTGAAAAACCATGACATTGTAGTGTACTTAAACCTAAATACTATAAAAATTATCAATTGTTTTTCATTTATTAAGATATCATTTAAATACAGTAAAATTCAGCCATTTTAGTGAAGAGTTCTGTGAATTTAACAAATGCCCACACTTGTGTAACCATCACCTTAATCAAAGTATAAAATAGCTCTATTAACCCTCCTCAATTCTGTGCCTATTCATAGTTTAACTTTCCCAAACCTCCAACCGCTGGCAGTCATTGATCTTCATTTTTGCCTTTAATGAATGTCATGTAATCTATAGTATGCAGCCTTTTGAGTCTGGCCATTAATACTTTGACTTAGCATAATGCATTGAAGGGTCATCCATGTTGTCATGTAACAGTATTTAGTACTATTTTTTATTACTGAACAATATCCCAGTATGTAAATATATCACAATTTGTTTATCCATTCACCAATTGAAGGACATTATGTATACTTTTTGATTAAAATGTTCCTATCAGGATTTGTGCTAATATGTTTTGTTTTCACTTGGGTAAATACACAGAAGCTGTATTTTTTAGTCATATAGGAAATGTACGCTTAACTTTCAAAGAAAAGGCCAAACTGCTTATAAAGTAGTTGCACAATTTTGCAATCTAATTAGCAATGTGTGAAAATTCCTGTTGCTCCAGATCCTTTCCAATAATTAGTATTATCAGTTTGCATTATGTTTTTGCCATTTTCTGAAGCATATAGCGGCATCTTTTTGTGGTCTTAATTTGTGCCTTTTCATGTGTTTATTTATAATCTATATATCTTATTTGTTGGAGTATCTCTTCAGATCTTTTCTCCCATTCTTTTTATTATGTTGTGTTTTCTTACTATTGACTTTAGAGAACTCTTATATATTTCATATACCAGTCTTTTATCAGATACATGATTTGCAAATATTCTCCCCTGATCTGTATCTTGTCTTTTCAATCTGTTAAGTGAAACACTTAGATTGAAAAACTGAAGTTGTTAATTTTGACAAAGTACGATTATAATTTTTTTCTTTAGTGATTTGTTTTTGGCCTAACCCAAGGTAACAACAATTTATTCTGCAAGAAGATTTAGAGTTTTAAGTTTAACTCTGTTTTTATTCATTTATATTTTTATTTCATTTTTTATATTACATGATGTATGAAGTTCTTTTTTTTGATACAATTGTCTGGTTTAATTTGTTGTAGAGACCATTCTTCATAGAACAATGTTTACAACATGTTTGAAAATAAATGATCTATATGTGTGTTCATCTTTTTCTTACTTTTATTATTTTCCATTGATTTCAATATCAGTCTTTTTTTGATTATCAAACTGTCTTATTTACTGTGTTTTTATAATAAGTTTTGAAATCAGGTTGGGTGAGTCCTCCATCTTTGCTCTCCTATTAAAATATTTTTGCAGGACAAATTAGATGTTTTCATTTTGCCTCTCATATGTATTAACATGTCTTTCATATATTTTTTAATTTCATTGTCTCTCTGAATTGGCTTAGCAGTAATTTCTTCAGATTCATTTTCCAGTTCACAAGTTTTCCCGCATAATAGTGTGTATTCTGTGTTAACCTATTGTGTGGGTTTTTAACTTTGGTGATTGCATTTACTGTTTCTAGAAATTGTTCTTTTTTCAATCATGTTAACCATCTTGGAAAGCCAGTCATTTTCTGTTTCTACTTTCTTCTATTTTAAAAAAATCACTGCATTATATGTCTGAAAATTTTAATATATGAAGTCATTGTAAATCTGAATCTGCTATTTGAGGGAGTTACTGGTGACTCTTCCTCATGGGGCATTACTTTTTCTTGTACGTTTTATCCTGACTCCATGTTAAGTTGCACTTCATCTGTAGGAATTCTAAGAGTACTAAAATCTGTTTCTCTAGGGAGAATGGGTTTTTACTTCATGCAGCTGCCTAGTAAGATAACAATCCGTAACTATTTTAACTATTAGTTTGAATTTGTTGTATAATACAGGAAGTGTATACATGTCTGTGAGGCCAGTAGAGCTTTTGCTAAGAATTCTTAGAGAAGTGACCTATTTCCTGCTTGAATCTGAGGCCAACTACAGACAAGTTTCCTTGAAATAGCCCTTTGCCATCTGGCGGAATTTGCACATATACCCTTCTATAAAGGTATATTTCTTCCACATTCAGTATGTTTGTAGTGCTCTCATTTCATTGTCACCTCACACGATATCGCAAATGCTCCCAGGGCCCCCACAGCTTTAGTAGCATACTAATCCCTTTGTTTCAACTCTTCTTACTCTTTCCACTGGACATTAAAAACAATTTTATTTCAAACTTGGCTTTGAAGTCAAAAAATTTCAAAGTTCTTTTAAAGAGAGATTTCTATGTCACACAGTGCCCCCCTTTGTTTAGGACTAATTTATTGATTATAGGTGATATTAAGTTGTCAACTCTTGCTAGATAAAAACATTAGAGAAACACAGCCTTCATGGAGAGAATTAAAGAAGACACACAAAGAGGAGGGTATGAAAGGTATGGAGGCAATTCCAAATGACATGATCATTTCTAGTTCCTGGTCCTTTTTAAGTCTCTCACTATAGCTTTGATTTCTCATTAGAGATGACATTTCTATGTCCTTATAATTCTCTTTTTGCTTAGTCTAAGCCAGGGGTGTTCTGATGCTTTCAAAGAACATTCTAATCCCATCCTAAGCAGTTGTGGTCTGACTCCCAGTTCCAGACATCAGCCGCCGCACTTCTAACTTTTGGTTTCACCAGTTTTCTGGCTTGCCTTTATCTTCCCTGCGACACATAAATAGTCCAGGGGAACATGGTACTTTACAGTCGCAGTTCATTACTGTCTCATTTGCAGGAAACTGTTCTTCCACACAGCACTTTTGTTTCCCTCACCAATGGCTAAATCTCTGAGCCACCTGAAAAATGTTAAATTCAGACATTGTGCACTCTCTCCACATCAGTTCTCCCTTCATATTTCTTGTCCATTTGCTTTCACTACAACTGACTTTTGTTTTTCACTTCTTCTTGTTTCCCTCCCCCATCTCCTCCTCTTTGTTCATCTTCATCTTCATCTTTGTCTTCTTCTAAGTAGCAGGATCTCTGTTCCTTTTCTCTGCTTGCTTTCTACAGAATAAAACTCTTTGTCTTCAATTTATTCACTTATGTGAACTGGGCCACCATTTAAACCACTCTCTGCCCAAAATCACCTAACTGTTCCCCCATGAACTTCCTGTCTCACTTGTCTGACAAAGCCACTACCTTAGATCTATCCAAATTTTCCCAGGACCTATCCAAGCTGCTGAACACTATTGGAGATAGTCATGCCATCACATTATTGTCACTAATATTCTCGCCCATTATACTAAAGTGAGCCCTCCGTGATGCCAGAAAATCCCTCCTTGATTTCCATGTCTTTCATTCCTACTCCAAATTGTCTGTTGTGAGATTCGCTTTCCCCAAACATTAATCCAACTGCTGCTGTTCTTCATAAATACCTCACCTGTACTATATACAGATAAAATATTTAGAGAAGAGAACTCTCTCAATATCCTGCCAGCAAACCTGCATTTATGCCTATTCTGGTAATTGTAGTTTAATGTTCTCCTTGCACTGTGTGCTAATTCTGTCCACCCAAATGAATGCCGTTTTTGAATAAAGTATCCCATATGGATACTTATTAAAGGAATAAGTATACTTTAATACATATCGAGTCTCATCATTTCCTTCTTCTCCATATGCCCTTTCCATCAATATTTAAATATATTCAAGTTTACCCGGTGTGAAAGAATAAAGGTTAAAAGATGGCATTATTTGAATCTATGTTTTCTTCTTTTTTTTTTTTTTTTACTTTTCCGTTCTCTTGAAATATTGTTATTAAAAGCCTACAATCACTTTCATCTGGTCAACTACCAATACCTGACAATATTATTTTTAAAGCAATATTTTTAAAAAAATCTACAATCACTTTCTTACTGATAATTTCTCCACCTTTCATAGTCTGGCATCAGTCTCCACCATTTCAAGAAAATTGCCTTCATCAGTTTCACCCAGGACCTCTTTGATATTAAATATAATGGATCACTCACAGTTTCATTTTCCTTTAACTATCTGTGATATTTCAAATTGTTAATTCTTCAATTCTTCTTTTTTCTTTAAATTCTATCTCCTTGGTTTCTATGACAGCACACTCTGACGTCCAGTTCTCAAAGTATTTTGCTGGCTTCTCTAATATCAGGCTATCACTCAAATAATGACGTTTCTGATTCTCCTTTTTTTGGATTCTCTCTCACTTTTTTTTAAACTATTTTAAGTTCTGGCATACATGTGCTCAATGTGCACATGTGTTGGTTGCATAGGTATACGTGTGTCATGGTGGTTTGCTGCACCTATCAGCCCATCATCTAGGTTTTAAGCCCTGCATGCATGAGGTATTTGTCCTAATGCTCTCCCACCCCCTGCCCTCCACTTCCTGACAGGCACCCATGTGTGATATTCCCCTCCCTGTATCCATGATGTTCTCATTGTTCAACTCCTACTTATGAGTGAGAACATGCAGTGTTTGGTTTTCTGTTCCTGTGTTAGTTTACTGAGGATGATGCTTTCCTGCTTCTTCCATGTCCCTGCAAAGGACATGAACTCATCCTTTTTTATGGCTGCATTGTATTCCATGGTGTATATGTCCCATATTTTCTTTATCCAGTATTTCAATGATGAGCATTTGGGTTGGTTCCAAGTCTTCGCTATTGTGAATAGTGCTGCAATAAACATACATGAGCATGTGTCTTTATAGTAGTATAACATAGATTTATAATCCTTTCAGTATATACCCAGTAATGGGATTGCTGGGTCAAATGGTATTTCTGGTTCTAGATACTTGAGGAATCACCACACTGTCTTCCACAATGGTTAAACTGATATACAATCCCACCAACAGTGTAAAGTATTCCTATTTCTCTGCATCCTCACCAGCATCAGTTGTTTCCTGACTTTTCAATGATTGCCATTCTAACTGGTGTGAGATGGTATCTCATTGTGGTTTTGATTTGCATTTCTCTAATAACCAGTGATGCTGAACTTTTCTTCATTTGTTGGCCACATAAATGTCTTCTTTTGAGAGGTGTCTGTTCATATCTTTCACCCACTTTTTGATGGGGTTGTTTTTTTTCTTATAAATTTATTTAAGTTCCTTGTAGATTCTGGATATTAGACCTTTGTTGGATAGATAAGATTTAAAAAATTTTCTCCCATTCTGTAGGATGCCTGTTCACTCTGATGATAGTTTCTTTTGCTGAGCAGAAGCTCTTTGGTTTAATTATATCCTACTTGTCAATTTTGGCTTTTGTTGCAATTGCCTTTGGTGATTTAGTCATGAAGTCTTTGCCCATGCCTATGTCATGAATGGTTTGGCCTAAGTTTCCTCTAGGGTTTTATGGTTTTAGGTTTTATGTTTAGGTCTTTAATCCATCTCAAGTTAATTTTTGTATAAGGTGTAAAAAAGAGGTCCAGTTGATGTTTTCTGCATATGCCTAGCCAGTTTTCCCAGCACCATTTATTAAATAGGGAATCCTTTCCCATTGCTTGTTTTTGTCAGGTTTGTCATAGATCAGATGGTTGTAGATGTGTTGTGTTATTTCTGAGGCCGTTGTTCTGTTCTATTGGTCTATATATCTGTTTTGGTACCAGTACCATGTTGCTTTGGTTACTGTACACTTGTAGTATAGAGTCAGGTAGCATGATCCCTCCAGCTTTGTTCTTTTTGCTTAAGATTGTCTTGGCTATACAGGCTCTTTTTCAGTTCTATATGAAATTTAAAGTAGTTTTTTCTAGTTCAGTAAAGAAAGTCAATGATAGCTTGATGGGAATAGCATTGAATCTATAAATTACTTTGGGCAGAATGTCCATTTTCAAGACATTGATTCTTTCTCTCCATGAGCATGAAATGTTTTTCCATTTGTTTGCGTCCTATTTCCTTGAGAATAGTTTGTAGTTCTCCCTGAAGAGGTCTTTCACATACCTTGTAAGTTGTATTCCTAGGTATTTTATTGTCTTTGTAGTAATTGTGAATGGAAGTTCACTCATGATTTGGCTGTTTGTCTATTATTAGTATATAGGAATGCTTGTGATTTTTGCACACTGATTTTGTCTCCTGAGACTTTACTGTAGTTGCTTATCAGCTTAAGGAGTTTTTGGGCTGAGATGATAGGGTTTTCTAAATATACAATCCTGTCACCTGCAAACAGAGATGATTTGACTTCCTCTCTTCCTATTTGAATACCCTTTATTTATTTCTCTTGCCTGATTGCTCTGGCCAGAACTTCCAATACTATATTGAATAGGAGTGGTGAGAGAGGGCATCCTTTCTTGTGCCGGTTTTCAAAGGAAATGCTTCCAGCTTTTGCCCATTCAGTATGATATTGGCTGTGAGTTTGTCATAAATAGCTCTTATTATTTTGAGATAAACTAATACCTAGTTTATTGAGTGTTTTTAGCGTAAAGGGGTGTTGAATTTTATCGAAAGGCTTTTCTGCATCTATTTAGATAATCATGTGGTTTTTGTCATTGGTTCTGTTTATGTGATGGATTATGTTGATTAACTTGCATATGTTGAACCAGCCTTGCATCCCAGTGATGAAGCTGACTTCATTATGGTGGATAAGCTTTTTATGTGCTGCTGGATTTGGTTTGCCAATATTTTATTGAGGATTCTCACATTGATGTTCATCAGGGATACTGGCCTGAAATTTTCTTTTTTTATCATTGTGTCTATGCCAGGTTTGGGAATCAGGATGATGCTGGCCTCATATAATGAGTTAGGGAGGAGACCGTCTTTTTCTATTGCTTGTAATAGTTTCAGAAGGAATGTTACCAGCTCTGATAGAATTCAGCTGTGAATCTCTCTGGTCTTGGGCTTTTTTTGGTTGGGCTTTTTGTTTGTTTGGTTTTGGTTCTTTTATTGAGACGTGTCACACTGTCGCCCAGGCTGGAGTGCAGTGGTGCAATCTGGGCTCATTGCAACCTCTGCCCTCTGTGTTCAAGCAATTCTCCTGCCTCAGCCTCCTGAGAAGCTGGGATTACAGGCGCGTGCCACCATGCCTGGCTTATTTTTATATTTTTAGTAGAGACGGGGCTTTACCATCTTGGCCAGGGTGGTCTTGAACTCATGACCTAAAGTGATCTGCCCACCTCAGCCTCCCAAAGTGCTGGGATTACAGGCGTGAGCCACTGCACTCAGCCTCTTCTCTTCTTTTTTAAATCCAGGTTCCTTGAGGGATCTTATTTATTTCTATGTCCTGAATTATTATTTCTGTAATGATTTATTCCAAAACTATTTCTGAGGTTAAGGATCTCAACTGAAACCTCATATCTATATTCAATCACCTCTTTTATACCATTATTTAGATGCTCGAACTTCACATATGTATAAAAATGATAATCATTATAACCTTCCTAAATCCTGGTCCATCTTCTGTGTTTAAGACAACAAGCAGCCCATTGCCTTACTCCTTTAAATATCTTTATTTTTGTTTATTTTTCTTTGAACATAATGTGAGAACAATATTTATCTGTTACTTGGTTCTACTCAGGGAAACCTAAACCAGCAAATAGACAATCAAACACACATACACACACAAACAACAACAACTATCCTTGGTTAATTCAGAATGTTGTCACTGTAATACATGAGCAGGGATTTTTGCAGTGATTATTTCAAAGACTGAATAAAAAGCATGAGTTTAGCCCTCACAATCTTTCAACATTATCATTTACTGATTCAAAAAATACCCTCAGTTGTAACACTCACACTACCTCCAAAAGCATTTTCTATTTTTCTGTAGTGGAATATTTGAGAAAGTTTTATCCTTGATGTTAAACATGATGAGTTCCCAACTTAATTGCAATAATGAAAAGAATTGTGTCCTGCACCTCCCTCACTAACCAGTCTGATTTAACAAACTATGCATTTAATGTCACATCAGACTGAGAATCTTGTATTAAAAAGCTCCAACCCATTCATTGTATATAAAAAAATAACCTATTTGGTTTTTGATCACTTAAGTATTGGAGCCAGGAGAGAAATGACTCTCCATGGTTTGGGAGTAATTGTCTAGTCGATTGTTCTCCATAGTTTTGCTTCTGCCTTCTGGGGGGAACTTCACTTCTCATTATACTCTTGGGATATATCTGTAGAGGACACTGGAAAGCAGAGTATCTGTAAGAACTGATCAGTTTTCTCAGTCTGTTTCATGCCCTTAAGGAGAGTGAAACAGTTTCAATATATTATTAATGTGTTACTAATATTTTAGTATAAACAGATTATATTTAATAGCTAACATTTAATAAACAATACAGTACATCAAAAAAGTTTTATCCACCATAAAACTTTATCAATTGATACCTAATAGTTTTACATATTTACAGATTAAATTTGCTATATTGATATATGCATACAATGTGTAATGATCAACTCAGGGTAATTGGCTTATCCATTACCTCAATTATCATTTATTTGTCTTGGGAACATTATTTGCTAGCTATTTGAAATATATAATAAATTACTGTTGAGTATAATCACCCTATTTTGTTATTAAATGCTAAAACTTAATTCCTTCTATACAACAGTATTGTTTTGGCCATTAAACAACTTCTCTTTTTCTATCCTTCCCCCTACCCCCTTCCAAACCTCTGGTAACCATCATTCTACTTTCTACCTCTGTGAGATCATTTTTCTCAGCTCCCACATATGTTTAAGAACATGTGGTATTTGTCTTTCTTTGCCTGGCTTATTTTACTTAACATCATGTCCTCCAGTTCTATTCATGTTGTTGCAAATGACAGGGTTTCATTTTTTTATTGCTGAATAATATGTATATACCACATTTTTAAAATCCACTCATCTGTTGATGCGCACTTAGATTAATTCCATATCTTGGCTATTGTGAATAGTGTTGTAATAAACATGGGAGTGCAAATATTTCTTCAATATACTGATTTTCTTTATTTTGGATACATGCTCAGCAGTGGAATTTCTGCATCATATTGTCGTTCTATTTTTAGTTTTTTGAGAACCCTCCATGCTGTTTTCCATAGCGGCTGTACTAATTTACATTCCCAACAACAGTGTACAAGTGTTTTCCTTTTTCTCACATCCTTGCCAGCATTCATTTACAGTCTTTTGGATAATAGCCATTCTAACTGTGGTGATATGATATCTCATTGTGGTTTCAATTTGCATTTCCCTGATGATTAGGGATATTGAAGACTGTTTTCATATACTTGTTGGCCATTTGTGTGTTTTCTTTTGAAAAATGTCTATTCAGATATTTTGCCCATCTTCTAACTGGATTGTTTGTTTTTAGGCTATTGAGTTGTTTGAGTTCCTTGCATATTCTGGTTATTAATCTCTTGTCAGATGTATTTAATAAAAAATACATTATACCATACAAAGCCACCATAAAACCTTTACCTTTCTTTTTATTTTAACTTTCTTCACCCAATTGGTTGTTTATAATCATCATCTTCCTAAACTGCTGATAGATTTTTTCTTATAATTTGTCTAAATTTAGCCTTTTTTTTAAACAGATACATTTAAACCAGTCTCCACAATATCATCTCCTTTCTCTTCATTATCCTATTTCATTCCCTGAGGAAAATTACTAAAAGAAAATTGGTATTTTGGCATAAGTCCCTTCTTTATGAAAATTATTGTGAGAAATGTAAATAGTAGAAAAGGACTAAAAGAAAATCTGGGCCCTGAAACTGTCTGTGTACGTCAAATATGTTTATTTACTTAAAGACTCTGAGGAAGAAAGCACATTCAAAATTAACTGCAAGGAGATAAGCAGTGTTCTTTAGGAGAGATGCAGGTGTCCAGGAATTTGTATCTAGCCAGTAGGTATACAGTTTATGGGATAACAGTATGAAAACGATGACTACACTTGAACTATTATAAGCATAGCTCCAAACCTCCACGTCAAGCTTTCTTTTCAGACATAAAGCTAGGTGAATTCTCTATGTATGGCCTATATAAATATATGCCAAAGGCCAACTTTGGCAAAAGTAATGCATAGATCTCATTTTCACAATACATAATATGCATGCCAAGGTACAGTTTAGAGTTCACTCAAATATAAACATGATTTCATCAATATGTCTCAACTCCCAGATAAACACAGCCTCATCCAAGAAAATTTATGAGCTTAATACATATAATTGGAGTTAGGTAGGTTATCCAGAGATCTCTACAAATCAAGCTATCAGGAATTCTTTAGTTAGCCATGGCAATCATTTGGAAGAAGGCTATTTACAAGTATTGCTTGGTCGTAGAATATGTACATTAGACATTTTTTTTTTTTTTTTGCTGGCCACTTCCAAATTCCCTCACTCTCCCCATTGAGATTGTAATCAACCAAATTTTGTAAGTTACTATTTCCTACTAACAATTTAAGATATATGGCAGGAGGTGAGTAGTATGAGATAAGGTCCAAGAGGAAACATAGCCAGAATAATATGAAGCCACTTAGGCCATTATCAAGACAATGACATTTACTTTGAAAGAAATTGAGAGTCAATACAGGGGCTTTACTGAAGAGTGACATGATGTGATTTATTTATTTAAAGCAGCATATTGGCCACCGTGTTAAGAGTAGATGTCAGGTTGATATCACTTTTCTTCCTACTTCACAAAGTGAGACTAGTCAACTAATTCAATAATCCAGATAATGACTTGAATTGACATGATAGCATGGTAGATATTGAGAAGTGATAGAACTTTGAATATATTTTGATGGTATGGCCAATATCATTAATTAATGATTAATTAATTAATGGATTAGCTCTATGGTGTATGAATGAGATCTGTATTTTGAGAAAAACAGAGTCAATGAAGCCCATGAGTATTTTGTGCTAAGAAGACAGAACGATGGAGTGGCCATCAATTGCTGAGGAAGGTTGTAAGGTAAGAAGAATTGGAAGGGATGCAAATTTTAGATCTGGTCCTTTTGAGTTATAGGTATCCAGGCCATCTAAGGGGTATTGTTGAATTAAAAGTTGTACATATTAATTTGGATTTCAGAAGTTAGAATTTCTGGAGTTTAGGCATATAGATGATATTTAAAGCCGTGATACCAGATGAAATTACCAAGATGGTATGTGTTTATAGAAAATATAAGAAGACTCAGGAATAAAAGCAGAAACCTGAATGAAATTAAAGAAGGAACAAAATGTGTGTTTAGGAAATAGGGTATGGTGTCTCAAGAGCCAACTGAAAAACAAAATATGTCAAGAAGAAAGGAGTGATAAATTGTTTAAAATGTGTCTTATTGATTAAATAAGATGTGAACTGATAATCAAACATTATAATTAGTAATACTGAGTCATTGATAACTTTGACAAGAACAGCCTGAATAGAATGATACAGTGAAAATCAGATTAAAATGGATTCATAAGTGGTAGAAGAGGAATTGAACAGAGTTAATAGATATAACTTTTACAATATATTTTATTGCATAAAGGATCCAACAACAAAAAAAGGAAAATAGCCAATGAAGGAAGTGGGGCCACTTTTTCCCCTATGTTTCAAGTGGTGTTTTCTGTTGATGCCATTTGTGATGAAGATCACCTTTAGAAGAGTTGGAGAAACAGGGATCCTGGTTTTGATGGGCCACACATTCCACAGAACAAAATGCAATCATTTTAGGAGTTGGAGCTAGGTAACAAATGGAACAAAATATAGTTCAGTTGCAGATGAAGGATGGACAATGTGGGCTTTTAAAGTTATACTTTAGGTTCTGGGGTATATGTGCAGAACATGCAGGTTTGTTACATAGGTATACACGTGCCATGGCGGTTTGCTGCACCCAACAACCTGTCCTCTACCTTAGGTATTTATCCTAATGCTATCCCTTTTCTAGTCCCCCAGCCCCTGACAGGCCCCAGTATGTGAGGTTTCGTCCCTGTGTCCACGTATTCTTATTGTTCAGCTCCCACTTATGAGTGAGAACGTGTGGTGTTTAGTTTTCTGTTCCTGTGTTAGTTTGCTGAGAATGATGGTTTCCAGCTTCATCCATGTCCCTGCAAAGGACATGAGATCATCTTTTTTATGGCTGCATAGTATTCCATGGTGTATATGTGCCACACTTTCTTTATCCAGTCTATCATTGATGGGCATTTGGGTTGGTTCCCAGTCTTTGCTATTGTGAATGGTGCTGCAATAAGCATATGTGTGCATGTGTCTTTATATTGGAATGATTTACAATCCTTTGGGTATACATCCAGTAATGGGATTACTGGGTCATCTGGTATTTCTGGTTCTAGATCCTAGAGGAATCACCACACTGTCTTCAATAATGGTTGAACTAATTTACACTCCCACCAACAGTGTAAAAGCATTCCTATTTCTCCGTACCCTCGCCAGCATCTGTTGTTTCCTGACTTTCTAATGATTGCCATTCTAATTGTTGTGAGATGGTATCTCATCGTGGTTTTGATTTGCATTCCTCTAATGACCAGTGATGATGAGATTTTTGTGATATGTTTGTTGGCTGCATAAATGTCTTCTTTTGAGAAGTGTCTGTTCATATATTTCACCCGCTTTTTGATGGAGTTGTTTTATTCTTGTAAATTTGTTTAAGTTTCTTGTAGATTCTGGATATTAGCCCTTTGTCAGAAGGACAGATAGCAAAAATTTTCTCCCATTCTGTAGGTTGCCTGTTCACTCTGATGATAGTTTATTTTGGTCTGCAGAAGCTTTTTAGTTTAATTAGATCCCATTTGTCAGTTTTGGCTTTTGACATTGCTTTTGGTGTTTTAGTCATGAAGTCTTTGCCCATGTCTATGTCCTGAATGGTATGCAGATGACACGATTGCTCATCATCTTAGCCCAAAATCTCCTTAAGCTGATAAGCAACTTCAGCAAAATCTCTAAATACAAAATCAATGTGCAAAAATCACAAGCTTTCCTATACACCAATAATAGACAAACAAAGAGCCAAATCATGAATCAACTCCCATTCACAATTGGTACAAAGAGAATAAAATACCTAGGAATACAACTTACAAGTGATCTGAAGGACCTCTTCAAGGAGAACTATAAACCACTGCTCAAGGAAATAAGAGAGGACACAAACAAATGGAAAAACATTCCATGCTCATGGCTAGGAAGAATCAGTATCGTGAAAACGGCCATACTGCCCCAAGCAATTTATAAATTCAATGCTATCCCCATCAAGCTTCCATTGACTTTCTTCACAGAATTAGAAAAAACTACTTTGAATTTCACATGGAACCAACAAAAGAGCCTATATAGACAAGACAATCCTAAGCAAAAAGAATAAAGCTGGAGGCATCACACTACCTGACTTCAAACTATACTACAAGGCTACAGTAAACAAAAGAGCATGGTACTGGTACCAAAACAGATCTATAGACCAATAGAACAGAACAGAGGCCTCAGAAATAACACCACACATCTACAACAATCTGATCTTTGACAAACCTGATAAAAACAAGAAATGAGGAGAGGATTCCCTATTTAATAAATGGTGTTGGGATAACTGGCTAGCCATATGCAGAAAACTGAAACTGGACCCCTTCCTTACATCTAATACAAAAATTAACTCGAGATGGATTAAAGACTTTAATGTAAGACCTAAAACCATAAAAACCCTAGAAGAAGGCAATGTGGGTTTTTAGGGCTTCTTTTGTTTGTTTTCTTTTGTTTTTTGACAAATAGAAAAGAAAGACATGATGATATTAATATGTAAAGAAACAGAGGCAAAAATAAAATGAAATTTGTTCCCAATAATTACACAGCTAGTAAGTGGAAGATCCAGATTTTGAGCATAACTTATCTGCAGAAGTATACTGTTAACTACAGTACGGTACTTCCAATATTTAAATGAAGAAGACCTATTCAGGCTTCACGTTGTTCTACAAACATTGTTCACCTTCACTGTTCATCTCTGTGCTTTTAAAATTCTTTTTTCTTATGTTAATCTGGATGATGTTTTATGCAAGCTTACCTCTTAGATTGAGTTTTATAGAACATCCAGTGCAATATGAAGGTATATTGAACCTGAAACTTTTCTTATGTGTGTGCTTTTTATCTTGTCTGTGTTTTATACAGGTGCTACAATAGAGGTCTGCCCACTGCTACCGCTAAGGGAGAAATCCCGTAGAACTTCCAAGTCTTCTGTTATTATAGTTGCTGCAAAAACCCTAGGGTTCCTCAGTGAAGTTGCTGTCAACTTTTCCAACCTGCGATAGGAAAGCGATTCCAGGTTTAAGGCTCATCATGAGGCTCATGGCTCACATTTCTTTCTAGCCCTATATCCTTTAAATGGTGGTTAGTGTGATCTTGACACAATTCTTTCTACTCACTTCTGAGAATGCTGGTTGTCTCAGAATTGAATAGTTTTTTAGTTAGGCCTGTGTCTTTATTCAGATTACAATGAGGAGCAGAAAGTTTTTTTAAAATTACTTACAAATACTCCCTTCTCTAATTTTCAGTGACACTTGAAGGTTTTGAAAAGTGTATTTCCTGGGCCATTTCCCTCATGGTGAAATGCAATTCTTGGAATTGCTTATTTGGGTTGTGGGTGGGGGAATGGGGCTATAGGAGATGTTAGAAAAAAAAAGTTGTCTTAGATTCCTGTGTTAAGTGTACATTCAGTGTGTTCATTATTGAAAGGAAAACATGATTTGATTAGCAAATCAAAAACAAGCAAAAGAAGAAAATCAAGAGTGTATTACACTTCTAGAGGAATTTGTTCAGTCAGGAAAATTTGGGGATATTTATGTTATGGATATTTAGTTCTTTGACATTTTATCGTTTGTATTTGATGAGTTATACTCATGAGATGCCATTTGACTAAGATATTGCGATCTTAGACATATGTATTTGATAATGTGTCCTTAGTTTCACTTGGTTATTATTGACACATTCATCACCACCTAATTATGAGAGGCAGTCTCAATGTAAACAGCAATATACCTTTTGTAGAGCTGCTCTGATGCAATATAATATTTCTTGTCAAAACAAATTAATGTTTATCTCATCCACTTTACTGTAGACTATGGGCCTTCAGCTCTTTTCTACTTACAGAAAATATCTTTTGTCAATATGATCACACACAACTTATGATGCATTACAGAATAAGTAAATTTATATGGCTACCATTTTCAAGTGACAAGTTCAATTAACAATGTTTATTCTTGTATGTCATATTTGCCACTTAGTCTGTCCTCTTTCAACTAATTTTCCTTGTAAAATCTTATCAATAAAACAAAATTCACCCAGACACTACATAAGGCTATTACAAAAATAAAGTATATTTTTTGCATTCTTTGCTTTACTAAACTTGTGACAAAAAACATTTAACAAGTTTTATATAATTATATAATTACAAATTGACAAAGAATCATAACAGAAAAATGTCTCCTAATAACACTGGATACAAGACAGATAAAAATGTTTGCCACGCTAATATATTATGAAAGTTTATTCAAGAAGAAATTAATCTTTAAAAAAATTAACTTATACAATAAAATAGTTATAGATCCAACTTTTTATGCATTTTTGTTGTTTCTAAATTAATTTTCCATCTCATCTAGTAATGAAATGACACATGAAAACATTTCCTAATTTCTGAGTGATCATATTAAATGGAGAGTGAACATTCAGAGCTGGCTTCACTTACACTATTCCAAGACTAAGTTTATATGCAAGCCAGGAAGATGAAAGAAGAAAATGCAGCATAAATGATGGTTTTCAGTTTTCCTTGAATAATGAACACTTAACCCAGTGAATTATAATTAAACATTTTAATAGTCTTTACCTTATTCTCTTCCATACTCCCAGTCCAGAAGTGATGCTTGCTGGAGAAAACTTGGAAACTTATATCAATTCCAACCTTCTTTGAATTTGAATTAAGACTGTTATATTGCTTTCTTTTTTCCCTGTGGAAATTTGTGCCAAAATGTATTCTAATTTTCTTTGTATTCCTAGATAAAATTTATTTTTATGTAACTATTTACCAGCAACAATGATAAACCTGAGATAATAACACTAAAATTGAGACATTTCATGACTTGCATTTCTACATTCCAGCAATATTGATGAATTATTGTGAACATTCCTAGAGTCAATAAGTTTTTATAATTTAATTTTGTTGCATATTTATTTTGTACTCTCTTAAAATTCTTTATTGCTGAGGTACAATGGTGTACTGTTTATTTCTATATTGTGAACAAGCTATTAAAATATCTTGAATAAAAAAGCAGTTGTATAACTTGTTCAAACTTAAACTACATAAATTTTCTATTAGAATTTGTGTTACAAGAGGGAATGCATAAAAAACCTTGCCAGTTAAAAAATCTCTTACCTTTATGATAAATTATGTGTAATATCTTTCTAAAAGATATACATTTCTCTAAATATTTATGTTTTCAGAGTATTTTTTCCCAAGAGATTTTTCATAGGGTTCTTTTTTCTCTCTAGCCTATGTCATACAGGAAAACAAGATATACTAACACTTTATAAAAGGAGAACATTCACTAAGATTAAATCCACAGGGACACTGAGTAGAATTGATGGAGATCAATTTTCTTACAAATAGAAAAACATGCAGGAAATCTATGAAAATGTATTCAAATGTCATTAATGTTTTCTGGGCACTCTCTTATACAAAGTTAGTTGCACTCTGTTGCCCTGTACAAAAATTTCTCATCAATCTAACATGGACTGAATTCAATATCTCTAAACTTTGTCACAGTAAGATGATCTACTTATACCTCTTTGTGTGTAAACAATGTAAGTTTTATTATGAATAAACACCCATTGAGAACCTCTATGGGTGTTTCTTGATAACAAAATTAACTATGTTAATTTCTGATAAATCAAGGATGCATAGACCTTGGCCAATTCATTTCTCATTTGCTAATTCTTACCTATCTACAAAGAATTTCCAGAAAGCTTTAGGCAACCAGAAGAGTATGTGTATAACAAGGTTTCAAAAATGCCCAGGACTTTCTGATAGAAGAATATTTCCAAAGGAGTAGGCTGAATCAAGTTGCTGAGTTGCCTAGGGTTCAAGTGTAACTCCAGTCAGTATGACTATTATCAAAGTTTTACCCTCACCAGATAGCATCTTTTTCTCTCCCTTAGTTTATTATTCTTTTCCTTTAAGTTTCTTTCCCTCGCTTTGTCATCTGTGTAGTACGATGCCTTGCCACCTATGTGGTAAAGCCAGGAATTCTGTGGATCTTTGGCTCTGCTTAGCATACCTTAATGTTGTAGATCACTGAGGTCTGCCCATGGACAAGGCTGAATAGCTGAATGAAAACTCTCTGTGGCCAAGCCCAAGTAATCAAGAGACTGATGGGTTTTGAAACTTAAATGTCCTTAGTTTTTCTGGTTGTGATATATATATATATATATATATATGAACCTTTTATAAGGACAGACTGCAGAATGACTGAGTAAAGTTAGGTATGTTAGGTCCTGACCAAATATTATGCTTTCGAAAATAACCAACAGGAATTTAGGTGCTGTCTTAATCTGACTGGGCTGCCATTATAACACAGAATGGGCGACCTGAACAACAGATATTTATTTTCTCACACTTCCAGAGGCTGGAAGTTTAAGATAAGGGTGCCAGTATGGTCCCTTTCTGGTGAGGGCTCTCTTCCTGGCTTGCACATGGCTGGCTGCCTTGGCTGCCTACTGGCAATGTCCTCACATGATCTCTTTGGGTGTCTCATCTTGTGAAAACACTAATGATATCTGATCAGGGATCCAGCCTTATGATCTCATTTAACCTTAATTACCTCACACATGGGGTTGGGGTTCAACACATGAATTTTAGAGGGACACAAATATTTAGTTCATAATGGGTATGATTGCATTTATGACAGGAAGAGAAAGGAAAGTATATCAAATGCTTTCAAAATTCTTCCACTCCTTAGGAAATGAAACAGGAATACATCTAGGCACAGTACAAAAGCCACATTTTTAGTCCATGTTTTGTTGAATAAAGATGAGAAATGGCTATAGGGTGAAAAAGGGGACAAATAGAAAAAAGAAAGCCACACCCAATTAATCAGGCCATTGCCTTTAAGATTGAATATACACTGAAAAAAAATCAGAACCAAAAGTTTATAAGTGACCTAATCTTTTTGTCTTAATATGAGCAAGTCTTAAAGAAGGAGTTTTTTTTTTTTTTTCCCAGCAATCTCTAATCTACTTCCAGATTGAACTGCAAATTGCTGCTTATGCTTTTCTCAGGCTGCTTAAAGTTTGAATTTCTGTCAGGGCTGCCAAGGAAAGCCAAAGTCTGAACAGACCAAATCAGCACTGTCCATTTACTGTGTCTATGTTATGAGGAATTAGCCCTAATGAGGAATGACTTCCCAAAGGAGGAGACCCAGATGGATGAGGAGACAGCTCATGAGTGTTTGCCTTCAAAAGAAGCCTCATGGTGAGTTGTGTATGAAGTAGGATTTATTTTTTAAAAGTTAAATATGGCATAGGATATAAAGTATTAGAGTGCAGAAGTTTCTTTACATTTACTGACAGAAGATTGCACTTAATTTAAGTGACAACAATTTGCCATTGATAGAATTTCAGGAAGAAAAATAATTGGGTCAAAACAATGAACATACAAAATAACTGTGAATAGAGTTAAGGGCAAGCAATAGCTAGAAATGGCCAGACAAGGGGAATTTTGAGAGCTAATTATGTGAAGGTAAGAATATCATAATGAGTGCTTTACTGATGATAATAAGATAAAGAGGAAAGTTAATATATGTGAAACTAAAACAATAGAAATTAGAAAATAAAAGGTGGCTTAAATCAAAATTAGCAAAATGGTAAGGTAATAATATTGACAATAAGGATAAAATTAGACAATAAAGAAATTTCAGAAAGAAAATGAGGAGATACATGCACTTTTATCGAATTTGGGGTACCAGAGAAAAGGTTTAGAAGGTACATTATGGCAGAAAAAGTTTTACTTGGTACTTACTACAGAAATCCTGTGATATATTAATATTGTTTACTAGATTTGCATTTGTGAATTTAAATATAACTTTTATTTATTTGAATATCTTATTGCAGACATGTGATTTCAGGTTATTCCAGGTAGAGTTATTCTAATGATTTTATGCATTCAAGGATCTACTGTAAATTCTATCCAAGAAAATCTACTAATATCAACTATAGACATAAACAATAGAAATCATACCATAGAGATTAAGACAGAAGTTACTCTTCACATATAAACTGCAACATTTCAAGAACTTTCATTTTTATGACATAAATTTATGTTACAGTATCAATGAATGTCAGGTTTGAGTATTAAAATGTGAATGTGGTTGCAATAACAGTTTACTTCCTTTAATAGAGTAAATAGCGTCTATGTGCTAACACTGTCCTTTGTATAATACGAATTTCTTTGCTCATAGTCTTTTTTTCACTGGAATTTGTCTCCCTACTATGTGATAAGTTTCCTTGCACTCTAATGCTCAAGCTATCCTGGGATGTTTCCTTTAATTAAAATGCTATTAGGTAGGTAGATCGCTGTTCTACCAATTTGAACTAAATGTGCATTCACTGCTGAAATTAAAACTCATCTATGATATGTCTAGAAAGCTTATATAGCAGCAGATTAATTAATGTATCAGAGACTTCCTGAGAATGAGACTTCTCATCCTAAACGATGAGAGAGTCTGGCAGATAATATTTGCCTGATAAGAAACCCTGAATCATATCAGAGAAGGCAAAATCTCTTCTTGTTTCTTTTGCTCTACCCTAATCCTCTGCATTTTTTGTCCTAGGTAGCCACCATACTCCTAATTAGTTAAATTTGTCCATTCTAGAGTTTTATAAAAATTTAGTGTTGTTTTGCTTTGTTTTTTACCTCCCACAAGTAAGTGAAAAAATGCAAAGTTTGTCTTTCTGTGCCTGGTTTATTTCAATTAATGGCCTCTAGTTCCATCTATGTTGTTACACATGATAGTATCTCATTCTTTTTTATGGCTGAAGAGTACTCCCTTGTGTCTATGTACCATATTTTCTTTATTAATTCATTTGTTGATAGTCACTTAGATTGCTTTCAAATCTTGACTATTGTGAATAGTGCTGCAATAAACATGGGAGTGCAGATATCTCATCCATATGCTTATTTTCTTTCTTTTGGGTATGTAACTAGGAGTGGGATTGCTGGAACATATGCTAGCCCTATTTTTAGTTTTTTGAGGAAGTTCCAAACTGCTCTCTACAGTGACTGTACTAATTTACATTCCTGCCAACAGGGTACAAGTGTTCCTTTTCTCCACATCCTCTCCACCATTTGTTATTTCTTGTCTTTTGGATAAAATCCACATTAACTGTGATGTGATAATATCTCGTTGTAGTTTTGATTTGAAGTTTTCTGATGATCAATGTTGCTGAGCAGCTTTTCATATGCCTGCTTGCCCTTGGTATGTCTCCTTTTGACAAATGGCTAGTCAAATATTTTGCCATTTTTTTCATCAGATTAGATTGTTTCCTATACAGTTATGTGAACTCCTTATGTATTCTGGTTATTAATCCCTTGTCAGACGGGCAGTTTGCAAACATTTTCTCTCATTCTGTGGGTTGTCCCTTCACCTTGTGGACTGTTTTCTTTGTTGTGCAGAAACTGTTTAACTGGATGTGATCCCATTTGTCCATTTTTGCCTTGGTTGCCTGTGCTTGTGCATCTCTTTACTTTCAGTTTATATGTCTTTACAGGTAAGGTGAATTTCTTGTAAGCAGCAAATATTTGAATCATGATTTTTTTTTGTAATTTTTAAAATCCAGGCCGGGCGCGGTGGCTCACGCCTGTAATCCCAGCACTTTGGGAGGCCGAGGCGGGTGGATCATGAGGTCAGGAGATCGAGACCATCCTGGCTAACAAGGTGAAACCCCGTCTCTACTAAAAATACAAAAAAATTAGCCAGGCGCGGTGGCGGGCGCCTGTAGTCCCAGCTACTCAGGAGGCTGAGGCAGGAGAATGGCGTGAACCCGGGAAGCGGAGCTTGCAGTGAGCCGAGATTGCGCCACTGCAGTCCGCAGTCCGGCCTGGGCGACAGAGCGAGACTCCGTCTCAAAAAAAAAATAAAATAAAATAAAATCCATTCAACAATTCTGTACCTTTTGAGTGCATAATTTAATCCATTCATGTTCAAGGTTATTGATATGTAAGGCTTTGTTCCTGTCATAGTTCAGGTTATTGTATATATTCTTTGTTTCTTTTTCTCACTGATTTTCATTTTAGTTTGGTGGATTTCTGTAGTGGTTCCATTTGAGTCTTTTCCCTTCCACCTTTTTGTAATTCCTTTGCCAGTGAATTTTATACTTTCCTATGTTTTCATGATGTTGATATAGTTTGGATGCCTTTGCCCTCCGAAGCTAATGTTAAAATATAATCCCCAGTGTTGGAGGTGAGGTCTAGTGGGAGGGGTTTGGGTGATGGGAATGGATTCTTCTTCGTCATGAATATTTGTTGCCCTCTTCATGGTAATGAGTTTTCATTCTATTAATTCATGTGAGAACTGGTTGTTGAAAAGAGTGCGATGTCTTCCTCTCTTCTCTCTTGCTTCCTGTCATGCATTGTGACACACTCACTCCCCCTTTGCCTTCTGCTGTGATCTAGGTTTCCTGAGGCCCTCTCCAGAGCAAATGCCAGCACTGTATATCTTGTACAATCTTCAGAACGATTAGTCAAATTAACATCTTTTCTTTATAAATTACTCAGTCTGAGATATTTTCTTATAGAAATTCAAAACAGACTAATAGAGATGGTAATTGTCATTCTTTAGTTCCCAGGATTAAGACTCCCTTGTTCATTTCTTGTAGGATTGGTCTAGTGGTAAAGAATTCCCTTAGCATTTGCTTTTCTGGGAAAGACTTTATTTCTCTAAAGTGTATTTTTGCTGGATACAGTATTCTTGTCTGACAGGTGGGTTTTTATTTTTTTTTCTTTCAGCACTTGAAATATATCATCCCATTCTCTTCTGGTCTGTAAAATAGCTACTGAAAAATCTATTGTTCGTCTGATGAGGTTTCCTTTATAGGTAGACACCTTTGTTGTTTTTAGAATTTGCTCTTTATTTTTGAATTTAGACATTCTGACTATAATGTGCCATGGGGAAAACATTTTTGCAGCATATCTGCCTGAGGATTGCTAAGGTCCCTATATAGAAATGTCTAAATTTATTTCCAGATGTAGGAAGTTTCCATCTATTATTTTGTTATATAGATTTTCTATACATTTCTTAGTCTCCTTGCCTTTGGGAATGTCAATAATTTGAGTAACTTTTCGTATGCCTGTTTCATATTTCATATGCCTTAATATAAAACAATATTCAACTGTTTTATGTTGTCCCAAATGTCGCAAAGATGTTGCTCATTCTTTTTAATTTTTCTCTTTATTTTTGTCTGACTATATTCATTTCAAATGAACTATCTACATGTTATGAGATTCTTTATTCTGTATATTCTAGTCTGTTGTTGAAGATTTCCAATGTATTTTGTATTTCCCTCAATAAATTGTTCATTTCCAGAATTTCTATTTGGTTCTTTTTAAAAAGTATCTATCTGTTTGGTAAATCTCTCATTCATATTCTGAATTGCTTTCTGCTTTTTTTTTGTATTGTTTTTCAGGATTCTCTTTTATCTCTGAGCATTTTAAAAATCAATATTTTGAATTATTTGAATTCTAGGATTTCAAAAAAATTATTTGATTAAGATGTGTTGCTGGAGAATTATTGTATTCCTTTGTAGGTGTCATATTTTCTTGCTTTGTTATGTTTTCTATGTTTTTACATTGAAATCTCCAAGTCTGGTGTAATAGTCATTTCTTCCTGATCTTGAATTTACTTTTGTAGAGAGGAATTTTTTCTGTGTATGTATCTGTGATGTTGGTTAGGTGAGGGACTTTGACTGTAATTCAGGGTGCATGCACTCATGTGTCTATGTGATTTCTTTGGCTAAAAATAGTGTTAGTGTTGTGATTCATTGGACAGTAAGGGTAGGGATATTAGTGGAGGCTGTGGTGAAGTTGTGCTGGGGACTTGGATGTCAGATGGGCCAGTCTTTAGGCCCCAGTATTGGCAGTGGTGGATTGAGCATGCCTATCTTTGTGCCCCAAGGCAGTGTAGGTAGGCACCTGGGTTGACAGTTACCAGTAGGTCAGTTCTTGGGCTGGTGGTTTTCACAGTGTGCTAGGTGGCTCAGAAGGTTCTTCGGTTTCTTGGAAGCTGGCATTATGGGCATGGTGGCAGTAGCAGTGGTGGGACAACCCTCTGGGTCCCAAGCAGGGTGAATTGGTGTTGTTGGTGGCTGTAGAACAGAGTTGCCCCACACAGATGCAGATGCACTACTCTCAGATCTTCTGTGCTCTGCAGCAGCAGTGTCACAGCACAGAGAAAAGTGTGGGAAGAACCCTGCTCTTTTGCACCTGAGCCTGGATAATAAGGCCAATGACCAGTAAGTCTCAATCTCCACTCACAACCTCAAAAAGGCAGCCCCCCAGCTCGCTTGCCCTAGCCTATAGTGACAGCAGTAGTGGGCATGCAGATGGGTAGGAGAGATCACACTCTATATGGAAGCCTGAGCACACAGTTTGCTTCTCCACTCAGAGGGGGTTTTCCCCTCTGTTTTCAAAGCCAAGCACAGAGTTTGTGCCACCAGAGAGAGTGGTGTTTTGTGGCACTGCTGGGGTATGGACACTTCAAACAGGCCTGGATGGGGAGCTTTCAGGAACTGGGAAGCATGTGCTTTTTTTTTTTTTTATGTCTCAGGGGCTGCCTTTTTTGTTATGATGCACCATCCTTTCCCCAGAGAGTAGTAATCCCTGTGGGCTATAGTAGTGGAGTCCCTGCAGCACCTTTGGGTCTAGCCAGCATTGTGCTGTGGCAGCCTTCTGGGTGGACAGTGAGGAATACCAGTGGGAGCTTCCAAGATGTGGAGATATGGGGATAGTGGTTCCCAGGGCTGGATGTAGTCCTATGATGGCTGTACTCCCAAGTATCACACTGGCACAGCCTCTCAGGTCTTGGTGCCATGGGGAGAGGGGGTTGTGTTTTGTGACCCAGCATGAGTTCCCTGTCTTCTGCAGTGCTCTCACTGGGTCTTCAAATCATCATCCACATTACTGTCAGGGTTTGTTGGGCTAGAGATGCTTTTCCATGGTTTGGATCACGACAGTTCGCATTGAAAATGTGAACCACTGAAGCTCTCTTGCTTACCCTTTTCCCACAAAAACAAGCTCCTTAGGGCTTCCAGCTGATCTTAAAACTACTGGAAGAAAACAGGGAAACTCTTTAGGACATCAGCCTAAGCAAAGATTTAATGGGTAAGACCTCAAAAGCACAGGAAATGAAACAAAAACATAGACAAACAGGACTATATTAAACTAAAGAAAACTTCTCCACAGCAAAAGAAACAACCAATAGATTGAAGGAACAACCTCTTGAATGGGAGGAAATCTCAACCTCTAAATGGGAACTAACCACTTCTTTCTTTCTTCTTCTGTGCCACAGGTTTTTTCCTGTGAGTTCTCTGTTGGACTCAAATGTTCTCTACTGGATGTCCTATTTGAGGTATGATTATCTATTCATAAAATTTGTTCTTCTTTCTGGAGAGGATGGATGTCAGATGTCTCCAGTTAGCCATCTTGAACCAAGTTTCTCTTTAATATACTTACTTCTTTTCATTGGGATAATTTCTCTGTAGAGGATTGCTGGATTGTATGATAGATCTATTTTTAGTTTTTTGAGAATCTCCATACTATTTTTTATAGTGTTCTAATTTACATTCCCCCCGACAGCGTATAGGGATTTTTTTTATCTACATCCTTGCCAGCATCTGTTATTTTTTGCCTTTTTAATAATAGCCATTCTAACTGGGATAATGTTGTATTGTGGGTTTAATTTGCATTTCCTGATGATTTGAAATGTTGAGTAATTTTAAGTATATTTATTGTCCATTTGTAGGTCTTCTTTTGAGAAATGTCTATTCATATCCTTTGCCCATTTTGTAATGGCATTATTTGTTGTTGTTTTGTCACCCTTTAGTTGTTTGCATTATTTGTATGTCCTGGATATTAGTCCCTTGTTAGATGAATAATTTGGAAATATTTCCTCCTATTCAAGAGGTTGTTCCTTCAATCTATTGGTTGTTTATTTTGCTGCGGAGAAGTTTTTTTTTAGTTTAATACACTCCTATTGGTCTAGTTTTTATTTTATTTCCTGTACCTTTGAGGTTTTAGCCATTAAATCTTTGCTTAGGCTGATGTCCTAAAGAGTTTACCTGTTTTCTTCCAGTAGTTTTATGTTTCAGATTTTGTGTTAAAGTCTTTAATTCATCTTGACTTTTGCATATGGTGGGAGATAGGATTCCAGTTTTATTTTTCTGTGTATGGTTATCCAGTTTTCCCAGCACCATTTATTGAGAAGGGGGTTCTTTCCCCAATGTATCTTCTAGGTGGTTTTGTCCAAAATCAATTGTCTCTAAATATGTGATTTCTGGAGTCACTATTCTATGCCATTGGTCTCTGTGTCTTTTTATACGAATACCATACTGTTTTGATTACTATAGCTCATGGTTATTATTAATATGTGAGGGCTTATTCCTGTAATTTCATTAATTGGTTTCCGGTTGTTTTGTATTTCCCCTTTTTTTTCTCTCATATTGTTTATCATTGTGGTTTGTTGGTTTTCTGCAGTGGTAATATTAGTGTGTTTGCACTACCAGTAGGTTTTATAGATTTGTGTATTTTTAATAATAGTAGATGTTATCATTTCACTTCCAGATTTAGGACTCTCTTAAGCGTTTCTTGTAGGGGCAGTCTAGAGGTAATGAATTCCCTTAGCATTTGCTTGTCTAAAAAAGACTTTATATTTCATTTATAAAGCATAATTTTGCTGCAGAGAGTATTCTTGGCTAACAGATTTTTGTTTTGACTGTAGCACTTTTAATATATTGTTCTATTTTCTTTTGGTCTGTAAACTTTCTGCTGAGAAGTCTATTGTTCACCAGATGAAGTTTCCTTTATAGATTATTAGATGTTTCCTCTTGCTATGTTTATGATTTATCATTTGCTTTTTATCTTTGACAGTTTGACTATCATATGCTGTGGAGAAAACCTTTTGAATTGTATCTCTTTGGAGATCTATGAGCTTGCTGTATCTGGATGTCTAAAGCTCTTCCTAGATTTGGGAGGTTTTCAGTTATTATTTTCTTAAATAGTTGTCAATCCTTGTTTTCTCTTCACCTTCTGGGAGACTGAAAAATCAAATATTTAGTTGCTTTATGGTGTCCTGTATTATTCTGTTTTCACACTGATATAAAGAACTACCCAAGACTGGGTGATTTATAAAGGAAAGAGGTTTAATTGACTCAAAGTTCCACATGGCTGGGTAGGCCTAAGGAAACTAACAATTACGGCAGAAGGTGAAGGAGAAGCAAGCACCTTCTTTACAAGGCAGCAGGAGAGACAGCCAGGGGAATAGCTGAACACTTTTAAACCATCAGCTCTGTGAGAACTCACTATCATGGGAACAGCATGGGGGAAAGCACCCTCATGGTCCAATCACCTCCCACCAAATCCCTCCCTTGATAGATGGGAATTAAAATTTGAGATGAGATTTTGGTGGGGACACAGAGCCAAACCATATTATGTCCTACATGTCATGTACGCTTTGCTGTATTCTATTTCTTTATTTTGGTCTGAATGGGTTACTTCAAAAGACATATCTTCACATTCTGAAATTCCTTCCACTTGATCTAGTCTATTTTTGAAAGCTTTCAGAGGCATTTTGTATTTTTTTTAATGACTGCTTCAGTTTCAAAATTTTTGATTGGTTCTGTTATATCTGTATATATCTATATAATCTATCTATATATATATATCTTTGGTAAATTTCTCATTCATATACTGAACTGTTTTTCTGATCTATTGGTCTTATTCATCTGTGCTCTCTTGTATTTCACTGAACTTTTAAAATATCATTTTTCTGAATTCTTTTTCTGTGGTTTCAAAAATTTCTTTATTTTTGGAATCTGTTGTTGGAAAATTATTTCGTTCTTTTGAAGGTGTTACATTTCCATGCTTTTACATTTTTCTTGTATTCTTACATTGATATCTATGCATGTAGTGTAACAGTTGCTTCTTCCACTTTTTTAATGTGCTATCATAGGGGAGAGCTTTTTCCTGAAGATGTATCTATGGTGTTAATTGAGTAGGGCACTTTGGCTTTGATTCTGGATGTGTATAGAGTGTGGTCTCTATATGATTTATTTGACTGTAAACAGTATTATGTCAGTGGTGTCTGTGATTTCCTCAATGATGTAAGGTGCTGCTGTTAGTGGAGGCTATGGTGAAGTTTTGCTGGGAATAGGGATACCAGGTGAGCCAGTCCTCAGGGACCAGTGGTGGCAGCAGAGGGCCACATATGCCTGCTTTTGGGGCCCAAGGTGGTTTACACCACTATTAGCAGATCTAAATATACTGATTCTTGGGCTTCCAGGCTATAGCTTGTTTGATTGCTGGCAGTGATAGTGGTGGGCCAGATGGTTAGGCAGGTCTGCTATCCCCTGGCAGTGGGTGTGGCCTGGGTGATTTCTGTAAAATTGGTGAGACAAACCTCTGGGTGTGCAATGGTCAGCACCATTTCAGTGATGGTTGTTGGTGATCATGGGATAATCAGGAAAGTGATGGCTGTGATGGGATAATCAGGAAAGTCTCCAGGCCCACAGGCAGTGGGTGTAGGTGGGTACCTGCTGAAGTGGTAGTGGCAGGTCAACTCAACCCAACTTCAGGTCCCCAGAAGTAGTGCTCAGGTGCCAACAGTAAGTAGTAGAAGGGGCTGGAAGATCCCCAGGGCACTGGATGGCATATTAATCACTGAAGGAAGTGAGGTAGGCTGGTCAGTCCTGTTCTCAGCCCCACCTCCCCATGGTTCATGCAGGTGCTGGCTGTGGCTGGCAGTCACAGGGTGATCCCAAGACCCCCAGCAGAATGCTCAAGTTGGGTACAAGAGCTGCTGGGGAGGGCAGGGTTACCTTCAGTGGCACCAGCTCTAGGTAGGCAGTTGGAGAGCATGTATTTTGACCCCAATCACAACTGTGGGTAGTGCAGCCTGTCCTTGAGTGCTTATAAAAATGTGGCAGTTTCACTGCTTAGGTGATATGGTTTGACTCTGTGTCACCACCCAAATCTCATCGCAAATTGTAACCCCTACATGTTGAGGGAGGGGCATATAATCCCCACATGTCAAGCGAGGCAAGTGATTAGATTATCAGGGTGGTTTCCCCCATGCTGTTTCTGTGAGACTGAGCAAATTCTTACAAGATCTAGTGGTTTTATAAATGGAAGTTTTTCCTGCAGTCACACCTGTGCTCTCTCTCGCCTGCCACAATGTAAGACATGCCTGCTTCTACTTCCGCCATGATTCTAGGTTTCCCGAGGCCTCTCCAGCCATGAGAAACTGAGAGTCAATTAAACCTCTTTTCTTTATAAATTACACAGTCTTGGATATATCTTTACAGCAGTGTGAGAACAGGCTAATACAGTAAATTGGTACTGGGAGTGGGACACTGCTATAAGAATACTTGAAAATGTGGAAGCAACTTTGGAACTGGGTAACACGCAGAGGCTGGAATCGTTTGGAGGGCTCAAAAGAAGGCAGGAAGATGTGGGAAAGTTTGAAACTTCCTAAAGACTTGTCAAATGGTTTTTACCAAACTGCTGATAATGATATGGACAATGAAGTGCAGGCAGAGGTGGTCTCAGATGAAGAGGAGGAACTTACTGGAAACAGGAGTAAAGGTCACTCTTGCTATGCTTTAGCAAAGAGACTGGTGTCATTGTGCCCCTGCCCTTGAGATCTGTGCAACTGTTAACTTGAGAGAGATGATCTGAAATTAGAACTTATGTTTAAACAAGAAGCGGAACATAAAAGTTTGGAAAATTTGCAGCCTGACAATATAGTAGAAAAGAAAAACCCATTTCCTGGAAAGGAATTCAAACCCACTGCATAAGTTTGCATAAATAAGAAGAGCCAAATGTTAATCCACAAGACAATAGGGAAAATGTCCTCAGGGCATGTCAGGGACCTTCACAGCAGCCCCTCCCATCACAGACCTGGAGGCCTAGGAGGAAAAAAATGGTTTCCTGGGCTGTGCCTACGGCCCCACTGCTGCTCTGTGCAACCTCAGAACTTGGTGCTCTGTATCCCAGCTGTGGCTAAAAGAGGCTGACCTACGGCTCAGGCTGTCGCTTCAGAGGGTGCAAGCCCCAAGCCTTGGCCACTTCCATGTGCTATTGGGCCTGTGGGTGCACAGAGGACAAGAATTGAGGTTTGGGAAAGTCTGCCTAGATTTCAGAGTATGTATGGAAATGCCCGGATGTCCAGGCAGAGGTCTGCTGCAGGGTGGGACCCTCATAGAGAAACTCTGCTAGAGCAGTGTGGAAGGGAAATGCGGGGTTGGAGCCCCTACACAGAGTCCCCACTGGGGCACTGCCTAGTGGAGCTGTGAGAAGAGGGCCACCATCCTCCTGATCCCAGAATGGTAGATCCACCAATAGCTTGCACCATGTGCCTAGAAAAGCTTCAGACACTCAACATGAGGGTGCAGGGATTACCCTGCGAAGCCACAGGAGCAGAGCTGCCCGAGGCCATGGGAGCCCACCTCTTGCATCAGTGTTACCTGGATGTGACACATGGAGTAAAAGGAGATTATTTTGGAGCTTTAAGATTTAGTAACTGCCCTGCTGGATTTTGAACCTGCATTGGGCCTGTAGCCCCTTTGTTTTGGCCAATTTCTCCCATTTAGAATGGGAACAATTATCCAATGCCTTTACCTCCATTGTATCTTGGAAGTAGTTCACTTGTTTTTTAATTTACAGGCTCCTAGGTAAAAGGGACTTGCCTTGTTTCAGATGAGACTTTGGTCTTGGACTTTCAAGTTAATGCTGGAATGAGTAAAGACTTTGGGGGATTGTTGGGAAGGCATGATTGGTTTTGAAATATATAAAGGACATGAGATTTGGGAGGGACCGGGGGTGAAATAATATAGTTTGACTGTGTCCCCACCGAAATCTCATATCGAATTTTAACCCCTACATGTTACGGGAGGGACTTATAATCCCCAAATGTCAAGGGAGGGAAGTGATTGGATTATGGGGGCAAATTCCCCCATGCTGTTCTTGTGATAGTGAGTGAATTCTCATGAGATCTGATGGTTTTGTAAATCGTAGTTTTTCCTGCACTTACACACATGCTCCCTCTTGTCTGTCACCATGTAAGACATGCCTGCTTCCCCTTCTACCATCATTGTAATTTTCCTGAGGTTTCCACAGCCATGGGGAACTGTGAGTCAATTAAACCTATTTGATTATAATAAATTACCCAGTCCAGGTATGTCTTCATAGCAGTGTGAGAACAGACTAATACATTGGGGCAGCTGGGTTGCTGCCAATGTCTCATGCTTCAGCCAGGGTGACAGCAGCCAGCTGTGGTGGTGGCTGTAAGTGTAGGAAGTCGGTGGGGCTCTAGGAATGAGAATATGCAAGGACTGTTGAGCCCAGGGCCTGATGCAGTCTGGTGTGGGATGGGCTTACAAAATGGCACTATACAGTAGCTGCCTGAAACTCAGGAGTGTGTGCGGCCCAGTGTGATCTCCCTCTCTGGAGCAATTTCATCATGCAGTCTCCAGACAGCTCCTTATGTTAGTCTCAAGGCCCATGAAGGTTGAAGGGCTTTCCTGTGGATAGGATTGCAGGATTCTTCATTGGGATTAGGGAGCTCTAAGGATCCGTCACCTTCCCTTTAGCCACATTGGGGAGCATCTCCAGGCTTGCAGTTGATCTTGGTTTAGCAAGCTCTCTCACTTCCCTCTCCTTCCTTCCCTTAGGTTTTTCCCTTTCACTTCTCTGTTGAATTTTAGTGTTCCCTTAGAGGATATATTCAAAGTGTTATTATCTAATTGCTGTTTTGGTTCTTTGTGGAGGAGACAAGTAGCAGATGCCTCTAATCAGCCATCTTGAAGCCCCTTCCCAACATATATTTTACAGAGGAAATATTTTAATTTTGCTAAGGTATCTTTTATCAATTTGTCCATTTTTTAAATTTAGGTTTTATATTTTATATTTTGTATTTAATATCTGTATTTATATTTCAATTCTGTATACACACCCTTTTCCTATTCCTAGCTAAAAAATAATTTCTCCTACATATTTTTCAAGAAGTTTTAGTTTAGGCCTATGCTTTATTAAATATTTATTTATATTTTAATTCTGTGTGAACACCCTCTTCCTATCCCTAGCTAAAAAAAAAAAAAATTCTATATATTTTTCAAGAAGTTTTAGTTTAGGCCTATGCTTTATTAAAGATACAGTTTATGGCCTGGTGTGGAGGCTCATGCCTGTAATCCCAGAACTTCAGAAGGCCAAGGTGGGAGAATCACCTGAGGTCAGAGTTTGAGACCAGTCTGACCAACATGGTGAAACCCTGTCTCTACTAAAAATTAAAAAATTAGCCAGGCATGGTGGCGCACACCTATAGTGCCAACTACTCGGGAGGCTGAGGCAGGAGAATTGCTTGAATCTGGGAGGCAGAGGTTGCAGTGAGCCGAGATCATGCCATTGCACTCCAGCCTGGACAACAAAGTGAGACTCCATGTCAAAAAAAAAAAAAAAAAGGATACAGTTTATGTATATGCCACGTTTATAGTTAATTTTAATTTTTATGTATGGTGTGATATAGTCATTATCTTTTACATGTATATGGAGTTCATATACCATTTGTTGAAAAGGTTATTTTTTTCTTCATAAAGTACTCTCCTGGATTTTCAAAAACCGATTGTCTTTGAATGTCTCTTTCTGGTCTTTATATTCTGTTTCATTTATTAATATGTTCAGACTTATGCCAGTACCATGGTGTCTTGATTATTGTAGCTTTATACTTTGAAATTTGGTAGCATAAATTCTCTAATTTTGACTTTTTTATCTTTTCAAAATTGTTTTTGCTATTCTAGAAACATTTCACACTTCTATTATGAACTTCAGAATCAGTATGTTAATTTCCACAAAAGTCTTCTGGGACTTTGAGATTGTGTTTTATTTCTAGATGAATTAGAAGGAAATTACACTTTAATAACATCAAACTTTCCATGAATATAGTATATATTTCAATTTATTTATATTTAGTATATAATCCATGAATATAGTATATATTTCAGCTTATTTAGGTCTTCTTTAAATTTTCTCAGATATGTATTGTAATTTCCTATCTGTAGATCTTTTGCATATATTTTTTAAAAACATAACTAAGCATTCCTTGTTTTCATAGATATTTTTGAAATAATGGTTTAAAATTTATTTTCTGATTGCTTGTTTCTAAAATAGAGAATACACCTGATTTTTATATATTTCCTTTGTATTCTGAGATATTGCTAAATTCTCTTATTAATTTTAATAGCATCATACCCTTTTAAACCATACGTGAACTGTCCATCTTCCTTTGTAAGAAGATTAGCTCTCTTCAGAGTCTAAAGTGTACTTTAGAATTCTTCTTAAGTCTAATTCATCAGAAATCATTATAGCTTTCCTCACATATTATTTCCATCTACCTTATTAGCCTCCAAAATTATATCTATTGCTCATATAAAATACATATAAATGTTTTAGTAGCAATCTGTAAGCTACTTGAAGCAAAGATTCATCCAGATCTTAAAAATTCCCACCTCTACAGCACTCTTAAAAATAACTTACCCCTTGAGACATCCTTATGATTATGAAAAAATATAAACACTCTAATGACATTGCTAAAATATTAAACAATTTTCCATCATCCTTTAAGTGACAAAAGAATGAAAATTCCTCCAGATAATTATCCAAACACTTCATGAAATATAGTAACCAAAAAAATTTATAATATTTCTATGAAACCCAACTACAAGACATAATTAAATGTTCAAAGTTTAAAAGAGCTTACTTGTATTTTGTTGTTGTTTTGTTTTTTAAGACAGAGTCTTGCTCTGTTGCTCAGGCTGGAGTACAATGGTGCGATCATGGGTTACTGCAACCTCCGCTTCCTGGATTCAAGCAATTCTCCTCCCTCAGCCTCCCAAGTAGCTGGGACTACAGGTGCACACCACGACATCCAGCTAATTTTTGTATTTTTAGTAGAGACGGGGTTTCACCATGTTGGCCAGGCTGCTCTAGGACCCCTGACCTCAGGTGATCCTCCCACCTTGGCCTCACAAAGTGCTGGGATTACAGGCATGAGCCATTACGCCCAGCCTTACTTGTATTTAAGATGGGACTAATGGAAAGAATTTGGTGTATTTTTTTTAATTTTTTGTTTTTATTTATTTATTTGAGACAGAGTCTCACTCTCTCGCCCAGGCTGGAGTGCAGTGGTGTGATCTAAGCTCACTACAACTTCCGCCTCCTGGGTTCAAGCAATTCTCCTGTCTCAGCCTCCCAGGTAGCTGGGACTACAGGTGCATGTCACCGTGCCAGATAATTTTTGTATTTTTAGTAGAGATAGGGTTTCACCATATTGGTCAGGCTGGTCTCAAACTCCTGACCTCAGGTGATCCACCCACCTCGGCCTCCAAAAATGTTGGGATTACAGGTGTGAGCCACTGCACCCAGCCAGAATTTGGTGTATTTTAAAAGCAACATAATATTTTGCTATAACATAAAACATATTTTGGATAGCATTACAGAGAATTATTATTCATTCCAAAGAAATATTTTTAAATAAGTCATCATGCTATTTAAAATATTACTATATAATTGGATGCCTGTTTATGAAATCATAACATTCCATTTCAATGATCTTTTATATTTTTTTAAAAAATCCATCAATGTACATACATTTGCTCACCTTTCCGTAAAGTAGCAGCAAACACAATGGGAGCAAAAGTTGACTAGTTTTCCTAATTGTTCCAAATATATACAAAACACTCAAAAAGGCAGTAATAAATTACTTTCTATTTCAATATTTTTTTTCCTCTCATCACACAGTTCTCTTATTCTCATTCCCTTTTAGTTTCATGAAAAGGGCCGTGAAGGTCCTTACTGATGGAATGGGTCTGGAAAGATTATTCCTGACATAGCAAGGAGGAGGGCATCTACCAAGTTTAGAAAAAACTATCTAGGATAGAAGACTTTGCACTCATTAGGAATTACCCGATATGTACTCACTAAGTCCAAGGGAGCATGGTGAGCACCATTCAATAAGCATTAGACCAATCGATGGGCATGATTGTTCTAATATAATCCCATTCCTCTTGCTAACTCTTGATTTAAAAAGTGGGTATATGACCCAGTTCTCACCAGTAGATGTATGAGAGGGAGACTGCTGGAGTAGATTCTAAGAATATTTTAAGTTATTAAAAGTGATATCCTCATTAAGAGATACTATATCTTCTATTTTCTGATGTTTGTATCTGGATAGGATATCTGAAAGTATTGCTTTATGCCTGATGATAAAACCAACGTTGAGGCCAGCAGAGTGGAGAGATAAAAATAACCTGGATCCTTGTGGATAACAGTGACTGAATTAAATAAACCTCCAAACCATCCTACCTCTTGATTTTCTGATACATGAGATAATAAATAGCTTTCTTATTTAAGGCAACTTGAAGCAAGGATTATTGTTCATGTGGCTGAAGCATCATAATCTATACAAGTGAAACCAGAGATTGAGGTAGGTTTTTGGACACACTGCTCACCAAGACATTTTGTGGGTTTACCTTTGACAATATCCTAACCTTCAGTACACCAAAGAGTCAGTGAGAGAAGAGCAAATTATTTCTAGAGTCTCCTCACTAGGATGGGATTTCCTGCTAAATCAGGTCAAGCTCTCACTTATTCAGGGAATAAACACCTATCCAAGGAATACATTATTATTCACAGTTGGGCAGGAGAACAGTCAAGCATTAGTGATTCCTGAGTATTTCACTCATTTCTATTGTCAATTTGTATCAGATACATTATGTCAAAAATGAATCCCTCTCTCTCCCAGAGAAAACTTACAATTCCCGGTGCACAATGTTACAGTTCATAACAGCTGTCTTGCCCTTTCCTGATTTGTATTGCATCCCTAACTCTAAGTTGCTTAGCCTTTTGGGAGAAAACTACCAAAAAGAAAGGAAAAAATGATGAAAATTCCAATATTTATAGCAAGATGGAGAAGGGAAACTCTTAGAAGAATAGCAGACCACTGAAATGATATGCAACATGAAAAGATACTTTGACCAATTGATCAGAAAATTTGGAAATAGATACCCTTGATCCCTTTCACTCATGAGTTGCCTGCAGTATC